>NC_000001.11:207123980-207275496 GCF_000001405.40 Homo sapiens | reverse complement strand
AAATTCATAGATACATACAACCTACCAAGATTGAACCATGAAGAAATCCAAAATCAGAATAGATCCATAACAAGTAACAATATCAAAGCCATAAAAAATTCTCCCAGCAAAGTAAAGCCTGGGACACAATGGCTTCACTGACGAATTTTACCAAACATTTAAAGAAGAGCTAATACCAATCCTATTGAAACCATTCTGAAAAATACAGCAGGAGGGAATACTTTCAAACTCATTCTATGAGGTTGATATTACTCTGATACAAAAACCAGGCAAGGACACATCCAAAACAAGAAAACTACAGGCCAATATCTCTGATATCAGAATAGTGATACAAAAATCCTCAACAAAATATGACCAAACTGAATTCAACAACACATTAAAAAGATCATTCACCATGACTAAGTGGAATTTATCCCAGGGATGCAAGAACAGTTCAACATATGCAAATCAATGTGTGTTACATCACATCAACAGAATGAAGGACAAAAAACATAAAATCATTTCAATTGATGCTGAAAAAGCATTTGATAAAATTCAACATCATTTCATGATTAAAACTTAAAAAAAACTGGGTAGAGAAGCAACATACTCCAACACAATAGAAGTCATATATGACAGACCCACAGCTAGTATCATACTAAATGGGGAAAAACTGAGAGCCTTTCCTCTAAGATCTTGAGCAAGACAAGGATGCCCACTTTCATCACTATAATTCAACATAGTACTGGAAATCCTAGCTAGAGCAATCAGACAACAGAAGGAAATAAAGGGAATCCAAAAAAAGCCCTTTTCTTCCTTGGAAAGGAAGAAGTCAAATTATTATTGTTTGCAGATGATGTGATCTAATCTTTGGAAAATACTAACTACTCCACCAAAAAACTATTAGAACTGATAAACAAATTCAGTAAAGTCACAGGATACAAACTCAACATACAAAAATTATTTTTATATGCCAACAGTGAACATTCTGAAAAATCAAGAAAGTAATCTCATTTACAATAGCTACAAATAAAATAAAATACCTAGGAATATACTGAACCAAAGAAGTGGAATATCTCTACAATGAAAACTATAAAATATTGATGCAAGAAATTGAAGAAGACACCAAAAAATGGAAAGACATTCCATGTTTATGGATTAAAAGAATCAATATTGTTAAAAATTTCCATACTACCCAAAGAAATCAACAGATTCAATGCAATCTCTATCAAAATACCAACAACATTGGTCACAGAAATAGAAAAAATAATCCTAAAATTTATATGGAACTACAAAAGACCCAGAAGAGCCAAAGCCACCCTGAGCAAAAGAACAAAACAGCAGGCATCACATTACCTGACTTCAAATTATACTACAGAGCTATAGTAACCAAAACAGCATGGTGGTGGCATAAAAACAGACACAGACCAATGGAATAGAATCAAGAACTAAGAAATAAATCTATACACCTACAGTGAACTCACTTCAATAAAAGTGCCAAGAATATACGTTAGAGAAAGAACAGTCTTAAAAAATGGTGTGGGGCAACTGGATATCCACTTGCAGAAGAATGAAACTAGATCCCTATCTCTCACCATATTAAAAAATCAAATCAAAATGGATTAAATATTTAAATCAAAAACTTCAAACTATGAAACTACTAGAAGAAAACATTGCAAAAACTCTTCAGGACATTAGAGTGGGCAAAGATTTCTTGAGTAATACCCCAGAAGCACAGGCAACCAAAGCAAAATGGACAAATGGGATCACATTAGGTTAAAAAGCTTTTGCACAGCAAAGAAGGCAATCAACAAAGTGAAAAGGTAGCCCACAGAATGGGAAAAAATGTTTGCAAACTACCCATCTGACAAGGAATTAATAAATAGAATATATAAGGAGCTCAAACAACTCTAGAAGGAAAAAATCTAATAATTTGATTAAAAATGGACAAAAGATCTGAATAGACATCTCTTAAAAGAAGATATACAAATGGCAAACAGGTATGTGAAAAGGCACTAAACATCATTGATCAGAGAAATGCAAATCAAAACTACAATGAGATGTCATCTCATCCCAGTTAATAAAATGGCTTTTATTCAAAAAACAAGCAATAATGAATGCTGACAAGGATGTGGAGAAGAAGGAACCCTCATACACTGTTGATGGGAATGTAAATTAGTACAATCACTATGGAGAACACTTTAGAGGTTCCTCAAAAATCTAAAAATAGAACCACCATACCATCCAGCAATCCTACTCCTGGGTATGTACCTACCAGAAAGGAAATCAGTCTATCGAAGAAATATCTGCACTTCCATGTTTGCTGCAGCTCTGTTCACAATAGTCAAGATTTGGAAACAACATAAGGGTCCTTCAACAGATGAATGGATAAAGAAAATGTGGTACTTTTGCACAATGGGGTACTATTCAGCCATAAAAAGAATGAGATTCAGTCATTTGCAACAACATGGATAGAGCTGGAGGTCTTCATTTTAAGTGAAATAAGCCAGCCACAGAAAGACAAACATCACATGTTCTCACTTATTTGTGGAACTAAAAATCAAAATTGAACCCATGGAGATAGTGAGTAGAAGGATGGTTACCAGAGGCTGAGAGTGGCATTGGAGACTAGGGGTTGAGGGGGAGGTGGGGGGTGGTTCATGAGTCCAAAAAAAAAAAAAAAAAAAGAATGAATGAATAATACCTAGTATTTGATAGCACAAAGGGGTAACTGTAGTCAATAATAATTGTACATGTAAAAATATCTAAAAGAGTAACAATTGGTTTGTTTGTAATAGAAAGGATACCTGCTTGAGGAGATGGATACCCCATTTTCCATTATGTGATTATTATGCATTGTATGCCTATGTCAAAACATCTCATGTACCCCATAAGTATATATACCTACTATGTACCCACCAACATTAACAATAAAAATTATTTTAAAAAATAAATTAAAAAAAAGAAGTGAGCAAACGATCTGACTAAACATTTCTCAAAAGAAGACATGCAGATGGCAAACAGGTATATGAAAAGTTGCTCAACATCACTGATCATCAGAGAAATGCAAATCAAAACTACAATGAGGTGTGGTCTCGTTTTAGTTAAAATGGATTTTATCCAAGAGACAGGCAATAACAAACGCTGGTGAGGATGTGGAGAAGAGGGAACCCTTGTCTACACTATTGGTGGGAATATAAATCAGCACAGCCACTGTGGAGAACAGTTTGGAGATTTCTCAAGAAACTAAAAATGGAACTACTATGTGATCCAGCAATCCCATTGATAGGTATATGCCCAAAAGAAAGGAAATGGTATATTGAAGAGATATCTGCACCTGTATTTCTATTGCAGCACTATTCACAATGACAAAGATTTGGAAACAACTTAAGTGTCCATCAATAGACAAATGGATAAAGAAAATGTGGTACGTATACACAATGGAGTACTATTCAGCCATAAAAAGAATGAGATCCTGTTATTTGTAACAACATGGATGGAACTGGAGGTCATTATGTTAAGTCAAACAAGCCAGGCACAGAAAGACAAACTTTACATGTACTCACTTATTTGTAGGAGCTAAAAATTAAAGCAATTGAACTCATGGAGATAGATGGTAGAATGCTCGTTACCAGAGACTGGGAAGGGTGGTGGGGAGAGGAAGGAAAGTGGGGACAGTTAATGGGTACAAAAATATAGTTAGACAGAATGAATAAGATCTAGTATTTGATAGCACTACAGGATGACTATGATCAATAACAATTCATTGTATATTTTAAAATTACTAAGTATAATTGGAATGCTTGTAACAAAAAGAAATGATAAATGCTTGAGGGGATGAATACCCGCCCCCACTATCCCACCTCGAAAAAACCCAAAGTGGTCCTGGATGAAGTTGGAAGATCAGATAGGACTCTCAACCTAGAAAAATCTTGTAGCCCATGTTATGGTATTTGAAATTTGTTCTAGGTGCAATGGAACATTATTAAGAGATTCAGGAGCAGGTTAATATGATTAAATTTGATTTTTTATTTTTAAATAAATCACATTTAAATTAAATGTGATTAAATCTTTAAAAAGATCTCTTGGTTCCTTTTGTAGAAAATGAATTAAAGGGCACAAGAGTAGACACAGTGAGAACCACTAGGAAGCTGTTGCAGATATTATGAATTAGAGATAATGGCAGCTTAGACTAGAGCAATGACAGAAGAGATAGGAAGAACCAGACATATTTTAAATATAGTGTAGAAGGAAGTAGAGTCAACAGAATTTGAGAATAGATTAAATTGAGAATCCAAAAGAGGGAAAGAAAGAAAGGGTGATCCCTGGGATTCTCACCTGGGCCCTGGGTAGCTGATAGTGGTAATTACTAACAAGGTCATGGTGGGGAGAAGAGAGAGTTGGTAGCTATAGGCCAGGCATGGCAGACAGAGTAGGCAAAGGGCTCCTTTGGGAACATGTTAAACTGGAGATGCCTATGAGAGTTCCCAAGTGGAGATGTCAAAGAGGCAGTTCTGCCCACCCTCTGCCATGCCTGCTCTCCCATTTTCCAACTCAGCATCACCCTTCATGTCATATCTATGTCTATTTACTCTGCACTTGGGCCCAGCTATAGTAGTCCCAAAGAAAGCTCTAGAATCGTGAAAATCCCACTCACTTGATGTGTGGTAGAGATGACTAACTGCCTACCAAAGATCTGTAATTCTGTTCCTTAGAAAGTGGTATTAGCCATGAAGCAGCTGCTCCAACAGCTTTAAAGGCAAGGGAATGTGAACAAAGTTGAGGTGTGTTACTTCCAGAAAGAGGTGGTTAATAAGAGGTCTACTTTATACTCTCTCCTTCCTTTTCTTTGATGTAGATAAATATGGTGACTTTTAGCACATGCTAAAAATGGTGGAGACAAAAGAGTAGGAGTCTGAGTCCCCAGTCACTGTCTAGAGGAGATCTGACTGGAACAACGATTTTGGACTTTACAACAGGAAGAAAGAAACCTCTATTGTGTTACACTATTGAAATTTAAGGGCTTGTTATAGCAGTTAGCATGCCTTAATATATCTAATTAACATTCATTTTCCCATTAGACTTTGGTTGTTGCTTAAAGTATTTTTTGTATCAGGAGTTGTAGTGGGATCTGATTTAGATATTTTGCAGGGAACTTTGGGGTACCAAGACAGACCATTTAGTCCCTTGGGGTAAATGCCAATAGAGATTGATGGAAACTGAGAATAAATTTGCCCAAGCATATAAAGAAAAGCTCAGTATCACTGATTATTGGAGAAATGCAAATCAAATCCACAATGAGATACTATTTCACACCAGTCAGAATGGTCATTACTAAAACATCAAAAAACAACAGATGCTGGCAAGATTGTGGAGAAAAGGGAGTGCTTATACACTGTTGGTGGGAATGTAAATTATTTCAACCATTGTGGAAAGCAGTGTGGTGATTCCTCAAACAGCTAAAAACAGAACTACTATTTGACCCAGCAATCCCATTCCTGCGTATATGCCCATAAATGCCGTATATGGCTTTATTATATGCCATGTATATTTAATAATATGTCTTTATTAATACCATAAAGACACACGCATGTGAATGTTCATTGCAGCGCTATTCACAGTAGCAAAGACATGGAATCAACCTAAATGCCCGTCAATGACAGATTGGAAGAAAATGTGATATATATACCATGAAACACTATGCAGCCATAAAACCAAGATCATGTCTTTTGCAAGAATATGGGTGGAGCTGTAGGCCATTATCATTAGCAAACTAACACAGGAACAGAAAATGAAATGCTGCATGTTCTCACTTATAATTGGGAGTGAAATAGGAGAACACATTGACACAAAGAGGGGAACAACAGAAACAGGTTTACTTCAGGGTGGAAGTTGGGAGGAGGGAGAGGAGCAGAAAAAAATAACTACTGGGTACTAGGCTTAGTACCTGGGTGACAAAATAATCTGTACAACAAACCTCCATGACACAAGTTTACCTATACAGTAAACCTGCACTTGTGCCCCTAAACCTAAAACAAAAGTTAAAAAAAAAGAGAGAGAGAGAGCATGAGTTAGCCAAAGGACGGTCAAATGTGAATTCAAGCTAGGGAGGAGGGAGTCTTGACTTCATGAGGCTCCTGGATGCCTACATTTATAACCTACATAAAAAGATGAAGGCCACCCTTAACATTGCTCACAGGCATGAGGAAAGCTCAGGTTGTATGACAGAGTGGTTTAATTCAAATATCCCTCACTCAGACTTCCTTGTCTTGGGGAATTTGGTCATAGACAGAAGAGACCAGATCTTTTTAAAAAGTAAGGCTCCTTTTTATGTATCAAAAGAGATATGATTGCTTACAGGTTGGATTACCTAAATTGGACATAAAAGATGTGATACTTCATGGGGAAATAAATGTTTATTTATTCGGAGTGGAGAGAACTGGGGATCTCAGAGAAGGACTTATGATAAGCAGTTGCATACAACAAGATGGGAACTGTGGGAATCATAACCAGAGCAGCATTGTAACAAAATGCACCAGGTCATCAGTGGCTACCCGGAAGCAAATCAGCATTGATGGATGGTGGTCAATGTCTAAAATAGGAAAGCACAGCCACAGAAAACAGCAACAGGGAAAGTCGCCCGCAACCCCTTGGCATATACTGCCCTCTGTTCTGATTGCTATCACACAGTACCTTCTAAGAAAGGATTGGAAACAGTGGAAGAGGGGAGAAGAAAGGAGTAGGAGGAAAACAACTTTTATAGAGCCCAGACCACAAAAACAAAACATTTTGGCCATTTTGTGGTGGTGGTGGTGGTGGATTGTAATATAAATTCCTTGTTTTTTTCTTCATCTTTTTTTTCTTGCAGTTCATCTACTTTCCAAGACTTATGCAATTTTCAGGAGTCCTCTGTTTATTCCAAAAAGCTTATGCATTTTTTTATGATTCCTCTGTTTATTCCACAGGGCTGGGTCATGATTTCTTGCTGTACTCAAGCTATGACCCTGCCCTTCTCACTGCATCCACCCTTGGATTATTACCCTCCTACTTGGCGAAAGTGGAGTGCATTCAGTGCAACCCCACCCATATTTCTTCCTCCTATTATTTCTTTGTCTGTGACTATGTGACAATACCTCTCTTATTTCCTTTCTCTTTGTCTTCCTTTGGGTGTTTCATCCCTCCATTATAACCTATCATCACTAATTGACTTTAAAACACTCTATAACATGAAATCGATTTTGCTGGTAGTTGGTGCCCCCTCATATTACATCCTGTTTTTCTTCTTCCTTTCAATATAAAATTCTCTAAGTGCTACTTTTATTTTTCATTATAGGTCTGGAACTGAACTGTCAATTTACTCCCAAACTGGATGGCCATTCTCTCGATAATGATGTTATTTTCAGGCAGGCTTGAAATCCTAGTGTTTTTTTTCTTTTCAGTCCTCATTTCCTATCCTACAACCCGCAATTTACAATTTAGAATCATTAATCCCCGTAAATTGGTTACTGAATTGGTTATTAATTCATGTTTATTTATGTCTAATTCTATTTATTAGTTTCATCAATTCCTTCATGAACTGTTCATCATGATTTGGGGGGCAATAATTTTGATTTTTCAAAATATTACACTAAAATATTATTTATGTTGGTTACCAAGTTGTTGATGTCCCCCTTACATTTTATGCTCAAGGTGAGTACCTCACTTGCCTCACCCTGGTTTCAGCCTGTGGCTCGGGGTGCTGCATGAACAGAAGCCATTGAGTGGACTATTTTGGACTCACCAGAGTTGCATTTTGCATATGCATATGCATCTGCAGGTGAGCCCATGAGTTTTCTGACTTGGTTCCTTCTCTTCAGGGTCTTAGGAACTGAAGGAACATGTATTGTATCCCATTCTTTCACCTTTTAGAAAATGCTCTGAAGATCTTCCAGAAAGATCTATCACATATTTACAAGAAGCTGAAGTTTTTGGCAGTGTTCATTGGTTTGGTGTGGTGTCAAGGATGAAAACAATACTTTATAAAATGGGTGTGTTGTGAGTGAGAGGATAAAGATGATATAGAAAAAACACCGTGCAGGTGAGTTGATACCTAATTTTTATTGCCTGCACATTGGGAAGCAGTGAAGGAGTTATTTCAGGATCAACTTGATACATTTTCAGTCAACACAGATGTGGGGAGCATTGAAGAGGACTTTTAAAGGGAATCTTGAGTTTTTTAGATGCCACATATAAGTAAGATCATGCAGTATTTGTCTTTCTTTGCCTGCCTTATTTCAGTTAGCATAATGTCTACCAGGTTCTCCGTGTTGTTACAAATGGCAGGACCTCCCTCTTTTTGAAGCCCGAATAATATACCATTGTGTATATATATCACATTTACTCTATCCATTCATCCATTAATGGGCACATAAGTTGATTCCATTTCTTGTCCATCATAAATAATGCTGCAGTGAATGTGGAAGCACTGATATTTCTACAAAGTGCTGATTTCCTTTTGTTTGGGTATATATACCCAGCATAGGGATTGCCTGGTCATATAGTAGTTCTAGTTTTAATTTTTTGAGGAAAATCTATGTTTTTTTTCATAACGGCTATACCAATTTACATTCACACCAATAGTGTCTAAGGGTTCTCTGTTCTCCATATTCTCTCCAACACTTATTCCTTGACTTTTTTATAATGGCCATCCTAACAGGGGTGAAGTGATAATCTCATTGTGGTTTTGATTTGCAGTTCCCTGAAGACTAGTGATACTGAGTACCTTTTCATATAACTGTTGGCCATTCATATGCCCTCTTTGGAAAAATGTCTACTTCATTCCTTTGCCCATTTTTAAATTGAATTATTGAGGGTTTTTTGCTATTGAGGTGTGTGAGTCCCTTATATGTTTGGATATTAACCCTTTGTTAGATATATGGTTTGCAAATATTTTCTCCCTGTCTGCAGGCTGCCTTTTCATTTTGTTATTTCTTTCGCTATGCAGAATCTTTTTAGTTTGATGTAATCCTACTTGTTTATTTTTGCTTTTGTCACTGTGCTTTTGGGGTGATGGCCAAAAGTCATTTCCAAGACCAGTATCAAAGAGCTCTTCCCATGTTTTCTTCTAGGAGTTTTAAATAAAAACAGAGAGTAGAACAGTGGTTACCAGGGGTAAGGAGGGGGAGGAAATAGAGGTATGTCAAAGGGTACAAATTTGCAGTTAAATTGGATGATAAGTCTAGAGCTCTAAAATACAGTATGGAGACTATGGTTAATAATATTGTATTGTATACTGAAAATTTGCTAACAGAATAGATTTTAGGTGCTCTTAGCACACATAGGTAACTATGGAAAGTGATGAATATTTACATTTGTTTGACTGTAGTAGTTATTTCACTGTGTATATGTACATCCAAGCACCATGTTGTACCCATTAAATATATAAATAAATAAGAATCTTGATATAAATTTTGAGCCGTGGAAAGAGAATTTATACCAGTGGCAAGGTGGCCCTGGAAGTAGAATGAACTATGCCTGGAAAAGCTTGAAGTTTAAAGTTAGAGGTGACCATTTAGTAAAAGGTCTCTAGAGGTACACCAAATATACATTTTGTCCTAATAGCAGATGGCCAAGTATTAAAGCATAGTATTTTCTCAAAGTAGAAGATGAGGTTTACAATAGTATCATGAAATGCACTGCAGGAAGAAAATTAGAAGTTTCACCCAAAATAGTTTAATAATTATTACAAATATATTATGAAAGTTTAATATTCAAATTTTAAAAGTTTTATATTCTCATGCAGAAACAGGAATTTATTAGCACTGCCAGCTGCTTGATTGCTTTTATGATTGCTATACCACTTATTTACGATACTCTATAAACCCTCACTTTCAACTGAGGTGAGAGGAAGAGCTAGCTATTCAGCTGTGGCTTCATTTTTCCTTAATAATTTCTTTATTTCTTTATACATATTATAATAATGTATTATATTCAGATTGATGACAATTTATCATGATTGTGACATATGATTTGGAAGTTTTTCCTTTGTCAAATTTTGAGGTGATAATATTTGACATTCTCTTTTCCATTCTGCTTTGATGAATCCCTGTAGAACTAGTTTCTAAAAGCATAGTAGCCTAAATTAAGTAAAATACAGCTATTAGAGCTCATTATGTTTAATACAATGAATGCCAGCATATAAAAAATTCTGTAAAAGTTATCACTTTGATATCTAATCTATTACTCTGTGTCGTATAATTAATTTTTAACAAGCAACACTTTTATTGATACATACATTAGCCAGGGTTCTCCAGAGGGACAGAACTAATAGGATATATGTATATCTGGAAGGGAGTTTACATATGCCTAATGTTCCATTATTGGAATGCTAAGCATGTGGGAGTTATTTATATCCTTGAGCACAAGGTCATCACCAAGGTCTGATTTTTCACACAAAAAAATTGCAACCTCAGGCATAAATGGGTTAAGTAGAATTGACTCACATGATCACAAGGCAAAGTCTCACGATAGGCCGTCTGCAAGCTGGGGAAGAAAGACATCAGTAGTGGTTCAGTCTGAGTCCAAAAGCCTCAAAAGCAGGGAAGCCAATAGTGCAGCCTTCAGTCTGTGGCTGAAGGCCTGAGAGACCCTGGCAAACCACTGGTGTTAAGTCCAAGAGTCCAAAGGCCAAAGAACCTGGAATCTAATGTCCAAGGGCAGGAGGAATGGAAGGAAGCATCCAGCAGGGGAGAAAGATGAAAGCCAGAAGGCTCAGCAAGCCAGCTTATATCCCACCTTCTTCCGCCTGCTGTGTTCTAGCCATTCTGGCAGCCAGATTGGATGGTGCCCACCCACATTGAGAGTGTGTCTCCCTCTCCCAGTCCACTGACTCAAATGTCAGTCTCCTCTGGCAATACCTTTATAGACACACCCAGAAACAATACTTTACCAGCTATCTAGGCATCCTTCAATCCAATCCAGTTGACACCAAATATTAACCATCACAATACATAACAATTATACATATTTATGGGATACATGTGATATTTTGATACATGCATACAATGTGTAATCGTCAAATCAGGGTATTTAGGATATCCCTCACCTCAAACATTTATCATTTCTTTGGGTTGGGAACATTTTAAATCTTCTCTTTTAGCTATTTTGAAATATACAAGAAATTATTGTTAAGTGTTCTCACCCTACTGTGCTATGGAACACTAGAACTTATTCCTTCTGTCTAACTGTGTATTTGTGCCCATTAACCAACCTCCCTATATTCTTCTCCCGGACCTTTTCCAATGTGTAGTAACTATTGTTCTACTCTCTACTTCCATGAGTTCAACTTCTTAGTTTCCACCTATGAGTGAGAACATGCAACATTTATCTTTCTGTGCCTGGCTCATTTCACTTCACATAATGAACACCAGTTCCATTCAGTGTTGCTGTAAAGGACAGGATTTCATTCTTTTTATGGCTGAATAATATTCCATTGTGTACATATAGCACATATACCACATATTCTTTTTTTTTTTTTTTTTTTCAGGTGGAGTTTTGCTCTTGTTGCCCAGGCTGCAGTGCAATGGCAATGGCGCAATCTCGGCTCACCACAACCTCTGCCTCCTGGGTTTAAGCAATTCTCCTGCCTCAGCCTCCCGAGTTGCTGGGATTACAGGTATGTGCCACCACGCCAGGCTAATTTTTGTATTTTTTAGTAGAGACAGGGTTTCTCCATGTTGACTGGTCTCGAACTCCTGACCTCAGGTGATCCACCAGTCTTGTCATCCCAAAGTGCTGGGATTACAGGTGTGAGCCACTGTGCCCGGCCACCACATATTATTTATTCATTTATTCATCTGTTGGTGGTCTCTTAGGTTGATTCTATCTCTTTGCTATCATGAACAGTGCTGTAATAAATATGGAGGTGCCAGTATCCCTTTGATATACTGATTTCCTTTCTTTTGGATAAATACCCAGTAGTGGGATTGCTGTATCATATGGTAGCTCTATTTTTAATTTTTTAAGAAACCTTTATAATGTTTTTTATAATGGCTATACTAATTTACATTTCCAACAGCAGTGTATAAGAGTTCCCTTTTCAACCAGGCACGGTGGCTCACGCCTGTAATCACAGCACTTTTGGAGGCCCAGGCGGGTGGATAATGAGGTCAGGAGATCAAGACTGTCTTGGCCAACATGGTGAACCCCTATCTCTACTAAAATACAAAAAATTAGCTGGGTGTGGTGGTGCATCTTTGTAATCCCAGCTACTTGGGAGGCTGAGACAGGAGAATCGCTTGAACCCAGAAGGCGGAGGTTGCAGTGAGCTGAGATTGTGCCACTGCACTCCAGCCTGTCAACAGAGCAAGACTCCATCTAAAAAAAAAAAAAAAAAGAGTTCCCTTTTCTCTGCATCCTTGCCAACATCTGTTATTTTTTGACTTTTTAATAATAGTCATTTAAAGTGGGTGAGATAATATCTCATTGTGGTTTTGATTTGCATTTCTCTGATGCTTAGTGGTGTTGAGCATTTGTTCATATAACTGCTGGCCATTTGTATGTCTTTTTTTTTTTTTTTTTTTTTTGAGATGGAGTCTCACTTTGTCACCCAGGCTGGAGTGCAGTGGCGCAATCTTGGCTTACTGCAACCTCCACTTTCTGGGTTCAAGTGATTCTCCTGCCTCAGCCTCCCAAGTAGCTGGGATTACAGGTGCCCACCACCACGCCCAGCTAATTTTTGTATTTTTAGTAGAGACGGGTTTCACCATGTTGGCCAGGCTGGTCTCGAACTCCTAGCCTCAGGTGATCCGCCCACCTTGGCCTCCCAAAGTGCTGAGATTACAGGCGTGAGCCACCATGCCTGGTCCATTTGTATGTCTTCTTTTGATAAGTACTTATTCAGATCTTTTGCCTATTTCTTAATGGGATTATTTCAGGAGGTTTTGCTGTTCTTTGTATTTGTGTTCTTTGTATTGATGTTTTTGTGTTTTCTGGATACTAGTCCTCTGTTGGATGAATAATATTATCTCTCATTCTACAAGTTGTCTCTTCACTCCGTTGATTTTTTCTTTTGCTGTGTAGAAGCTTTTTAGTTAGATTAAATCCCATTTGTCTATTTTTGTTTTTGCTGCCTGTACTTTGAGGTTCTTTGAGGTTACAAATTCTTTGCCTAGGCCAATATCCAGGAGACTTTTCCCTAGATTTTCTTTTAGTATTTTTATAGATTTTGGTCTTACATTTAAGTCTTTAATCCATTTTGAGTTGATTCTTTAATATGGTGAGAGATAGGTATTCAGTTTCATTCTTCTGCATGTGGCAATCCAGTTTACCCAGCACCATTTAGTAAAGAGGATGTCTTTTCCCCAGTGTAAATTCTTGTCAGCTTTGTCAAAGATGAGTTAGCTGCAAATATGTGGCTTTATTTCTGGGTTCTCTATTCTCTTCCACAGGTCTATTTTTATACCAACACCATGCTGTTTTTGTTACTATAGCCTTGTATTATATTTTGAAATCAGATAACATGATGCCTCAAGCTTTGTTCTTTTTGCTCAGGATTGCTTTGGCTACTAGGGCTCTTTTTTAGTTCCATGTGAATTTTAGATTGTTGTTGCTATTTCTGTGAAGAATATCACTGATATTTATTGCTCGGGTTTCACTGAATCTTTAGATTACTTTGTGCAGTATGGTGATTTTGACAATATTAATTCTTCCAATTCATGAGCTTGGGATGTTTTTCCAATTCTTTGTGTCATCAATTTCTTCCATCAATGTGTTTTGTAATTTTTCTTATAGATGTCTTTCACCTCCTTAGTTACATTTATTCCTAGGTATTTTATTTTTTTGTTGCAATTGTAAATGGTTTCTTGACTTCCTTTTCAGCTAGTTTGATATTGTTGTATAGAAATGCTACAGGTATTTGTATGTTGACATGTACAATTATTTAATTTTATTAGATGTTTGTTGGCAGAAAAATTATGTTTTTCTTAATGTTCTCTAAATAATGCACTATTGATATTTATATTAACTGTGAAACAATTTTCCTATTATTTAAATATTAAAAAGTTTTTTTGCACATACAATAAATAGCTTTAACAGTCATCATTAATCATAGTAGTGTACATATAGGACATATTTATAGTAATACAAATATCATATATTTATTCATCAACTGACAGAATCTTAATATAAAGCACATAAGGAGACTTCTCACTCTGTGCCACATCTAGAATATATACTTAGATTCTTTGAAAAGGTTCACTAGTAACTCTAAATCTGAAGGGCTTTTTCTTTTTTTTTAGACGGAGTCTCTCTCTTGTCGCTCAGGCTGGAGTGCAGTGACGTGATCTCAGCTCACTGCAACCTCCACCTCTTGGGTTCAAGCAATTCTCCTGCCTCAGCCTCCTGAGTAGCTGGGATTACGGGCACTCGCCACCATGCCCAACTAATTTTTGTACTTTTAGTAGAGACAGGGTTTTGCCATGTTGTCCAGGCTGGTCTTAAACTCCTGATCTCAGGTGATCTGCCCGTCTCGGCCTCCGAAAGTGCTGGGATTACAGGTGTGAGCCACCGTGCCTGGCCTAAATGACATTTTTAATGTCATTGTTATTCTGATTAGAAGTGATTAGATATGACAGTCAGGAATGTCAGAAATTACATTGCAAGGGAAGTAGGGGGAGACTGATGAACAGAAGTTGGTTAAGGGATACAAAAATACGATTGATAGAAGGAGTAATTTCTGGTATTTGATAGTTAGCTATAATTTATTGTATATTTCCAAATAGCTAGAAGAGAACTGTAATGTTTTCAACACAAAGATAAATGTTTAAGGTGATAGATATCCCAATTACAATGATTGAATAATTACACATTATATACATGTGTCAAAATATTACATGCACCCCCAAATGTGTACAACCATAGTATAGCAATAAAAAATTAAAAATTAGATCTGGAAAGAGGGGAGGAGCAAGATAGTTGAATAGACATCTCCACTGATTGTCCCTCCTACAGAAGCACCAAATTTAACACTATCTACACAATAAAAGCATCTTCGTGAGAACCAAAAACTAGGTGAACACTCACAGTACCTGGTTTTAACTTCCTACTGCTGACAGAGGCACCAAAGACAATAGGAAAGACAGTCTTGAATTGCTGACACCACTACCCCATACCCTGGCAGTGGCCACATGAGGCAGAGAGAGAATCTGTGTGCTTGGGAGAGGGAGAATGCAGCAACTGTGAGACTTTGCATTGACCTCAGTGCTCCCCTGTCACAGCGAAAAGCAAAATAAGGCTGAACTCAGCAGATGCCCACCTATAGAGGAAGCAGTTTGAGGAGCCCTCACCAGATGGGAATCACCCATCCCAGTAGTTGGAATTTGAGTTCCAGCAAGCTTTGCCACCACAGGCTAAAGTGCTTTGAGGCCTAAATAAACTTGAAATGTAATCTGGGCCACAAGGACTGCAACTCCAAGGCAAGTCCTAGTTCTGAGCTGGGCTCAGAGCCCGTGGAACTGGGGGGCATGTGACCTACTGGGACATCAGCCAGGGCAGCCAGGGCTTGTGCTACCCCTCCCCAAACCTCAGACAGCACAGCTCGTGGCTCCAAAAGAGACCTCTTGCTTTTGCTTGAGGAGAAGAAGGGCAAGAGTAATAAGGACTTTGTCTTGCATCTTGGATACAAGTTCAGCTACAGTAAGATAGGGTACCAGTCAGAATTGTGAAGCCCCCACTCGAGGCTCTAGCTCCTGGATGACATTTCTAGACATACCCTGGGCCAGAAGGGAAACTGCTGCCTTGAAGAGAAGGACCCAGTTCCAGCAGTACCTCATCACCTGCTGACTAAAGAGGCTTGGGCCCTGAATAATCAGTAGTGAGACCCAGGTAGTACACTCTGGGCCTTGGGTAAGATTCTGAGACATGCTGGCTTCAAGTGAGACCCAGCACATTCCCAGTTGTTGTGGCTATGGAATGACTCCTCCTGCTGGAGAAAAGCAGAAGGAAAAGTAAAGGGGACTTTGTCTTGTACCTTACATACCAGCTCAACCACAGGGGCAAACCATCAAGCAGGCTCTTGGGGGTCCCTATTTCCAGGCCTTGGCTCTTGGATGGCATTTCTGGACATTCCCTGGACCAGAGTGGAGCCCACTTCCCTGAAAAGTGAGTCCCAGGCCTGGCGGCATTCACCACAAGCTAACTGAAGAGTCCTTGTGCCTTTAGTGAACATTGGTGGTAGCCTGGCAGGACTCACTGTGGGCCTGTGGTGGTGGTAGCCGTGGAATGAAGCTCCTCTGCCTATGGAAAGGGGAGAGAAGAATGGGAAGGACTGGGTCTTGTGGTTTGAGTGTCAGCTCAGCTGCAGGACAATAGAATACCAAGTAGATTCCTAAGGTTTTCAACTCCAGTCCCTGACTCCTAGATGCCATCTCTATACCTACCAAGGGTGTCGAAAACTTGCTTCCCTGAAGAGAAGGACACAAGCCTGGCTGGAGTCATCACCTGCTGATTGTAGAGCCCTAGAGCCTTCACCAAACATAGGCAGTAGAAAGGTAGTCATTACAGTGAGCCTTGGGCGAGACCTAGTGCTGTGATGGCTTCAGGCCTGACCCAGCACAGTAGTGATGGTGGCCATGGAGGTGCTTGTGTCACCTTAATCCCAGCTCCAGACAGCTCAGCATGGAAAGAGAGAGGCCCTGTTTGTTTGGGAGAAAATAAGAAAAGAGAACAGGTAATCCAGAGAATCTTCCAGATCTTATCCAAGACCACCAAGGTGGTACCTCTATGAGTCTGCAATAACTACAGTATTAGTGGATTTGGGGTCCCCCTTAATGCAGACATGGCTTAGGTTACACCACCCAAGTCCTTTTGAATATCTCAAAAGCCTTCCCAAGGACAGGCACAAACAAGCCCAGAATGCAAAGACTTCAATAAATACCTAACTCTTCAATTTCCAGAAATTGGCAAACATCCACAAGCATCCAGACCATCCATGAAAACATGGTTTTACAAAATGAACTAAGTAAGTTACCAGGGACTGATTCTGGAGAAACAGAGATATGTGACCTTTCAGGAAAAGTTTTCAAAATACCTGTTTTGAGGAATCCCAAAGAAATTACAGAAAACACAAAGAAGGAATTCAGAATTCTGTCAGATAAATTTAACCAAGATATAGAAATAATTAAAAAGAATTAGGAAGAAATTCTGGAGTTGAAAAATGCAGTTGACAATGAAGAATGTATCAGAATCTTTTAACAGAAGAATAGATCAAGCAAAAGAAAGAATTAGTGAGCTTGCAGACAGCCTACTTGAAAATACACAGTCAGAGGAGAAAAAGAATAACAAAAAGCAAAGCACACCTACAAGATCTAGAAAATAGCTTCAAAAGGGCAAATCTGAGAGTTATTGGCCTTAAGAGGTAGAGAAAGAGATAAGAGTAGGACATTTATTCAAAGGGATAAGAATAGAGAAATTTTCAAGCCTAGAGAAACGTATTAATATCAAAGTACAAAAAAGTTATAGAACACCAAGCAGATTTAACTCAAAGAAGACTATCTCAAGGCATTTAATAATCAAACTCCCAAAGGTCAAGGATAAAGAAAGGAACCTAAAAGCTGCAAGAGGAAAGAAACAAATGATATACAGTGGAGCTCCAATATGTCTGGCAGCAGACTTTTCAGTGAAAACCTTACAGGCCAGAAGAGAGTGGCATGACATATTTAAAGTGCTGAAGGAAAACAACTTTTACCCTAGAATAGTATATCTGGCAAAAGTATCCTTCAAACATGAAGAGATGTAAAGACTTTCCCAGAGAAACAAAAGCTGAGGGATTTCATCAACACCAGGCCTGTCCTATAAGAAATGCTAAAGGGAACACTTCATCCAGAAAGAAAGGGACATTATGAATAGTAAGAAACCATCTGAAAGCACAAAACTCACTGGTAGTAGTAAGTACACAGAAAAACACAGTATGATAACACTGTAACTGTGGTATGTAAACAAGTCTTATCTTAAGTAGAAGACTAAAAGATGAACCAATCAAAAATAATAACTACAACTTTTCAATACGTAGTGCAATAAGATATAAATAGAGACAACACGAAGTTAAAAAGCAGGGCACAAAGTTAAAAAACAGAGTTTCTATTAGTTTTCTTTTTGCTTGTTTATTTATGCAAACAGTGTTAAGATGTTATCAACTTAAAATAATGGGATATAAGACAGTATTTGCAAGCCTCATGGCAACCTATAATAAAAAAAATACAATGTATACACCAAAAATAAAAAGCAGGAAATTACATCATACCACCAGAGAAAATCATCTTCACTAAAAGGAAGACAGAAAAGAAGGAAAAAAGAAAGAGAAGTCCACAAAACAACCAGAAAACAAATTTTTTAAAAGGCAGAAGTAAGTCCTTACTTATCAATAATAATATTGAATGTAAATGGACTAAACTCTCCAGTAAAAAGACAGAGTATCAGAATGGATGAAAAAAAGAGGATTCGATGATCTGTTGCACACAAGAAACCCATTTCACCTAAAAAGACACATATAGACTGAAAATAAGGGGATGGAAAAAGATATTCTGTGGTGATGGAAACCAAAAAAGAGCAAGAGTAGCTATACTCATATCAGACAAAATAGATTGCAAGACAAAAACATGGAATGCAGCAAAAGTATTAAGAGGAAAGTTTATAACAATAAGTGGCCCCACCCCCACCCAAATCTCATCTTCAATTGTAGTTTCCATAATTCCCATATGTCATGGGAGGGACACAGCAAGAGGTAATTTAATGATGGGGGCAGTTCCCCCATGCTGTTCTCATGATAGTGAGTTCTCACAAGATCTGATGGTTTTATAAGGGGATTTTCCCCCTTTGCTCAGCACTTTTTCCTGCTGCCATGTAAAGAAGGGTGTATCTACATCCCCTTCTGCCGTGATTGTAAGTTTCCTGAGGCCTCCCCAGCCATGCTAAACTGTGAGTCAATTAAAACTCTTTTCTTTATAAATTACCCAGTCTTGGGTGTGTCTTTATTAACAGCGTGAGAATGGACCAATACAGTAAATTGGTACCTCAGATAGTGGGTTGCTCCTATAAAGATACCCAAAAATGTGGAAGTGACTTTGGAACTGTGTAACAGGCAGATGTTGGAACAATTTGGAAGGCTCAGAAAAAGACAGGAAAATGTGGGAAAGTTTGGAACTTCCAAGAGGCTTGGAGAGGTCAGAAGACAGGAAGATGTGGGAAAGCTTGGAACTTCCTAGAGACTTGTTGAATGGCTTTGCCCAAAATGCTGATACTGATATGGACAATGAAGTCTAGGCTGAGGTAGTCTCAGATGGAGATGAGGAACTTGTTGGGAACTGGAGCAAAGGTGACTCTTGTTATGTGTTAGCAAACAGACTGGCAGCATTTTGCCCCTGCCCCAAAGATCTGTGGAACTTTGAATTTGAGAGAGATGATTTAGGGTATCTGGCAGAAGAAATTTCTAAGGAGCAAGGCATTCAAGAGGAAGCAGAGCATAAAAGTTTGGAAAATTTGCAGCCTGACAATGCAATAGGAAAAAAAAACAAAAAACAAAACGACATTTTCTGGGGAGAAATTCAAGCCAGCTGCAGACATTTGCTTAAGTAATGAGAAGCCAAATGTTAATCACCAAGACAATGGTAGAAATGTCTCCAGGGCATGTCAGAGACCTTCACAGAGAGGGAAAAATGGTTTTCTGGGCTGGGTGCAGAGCCCCTCTGATCTGTGCAGCTTTGGGACATGGGGCACTGCGTCCAAACTTCTTCAGCTCCAGCTGTGGCTGAAAGGAGCCAATGTACAGCTTGGGCCATTGCTTCAGAGGGTGCAAGCCCCAAGCCTTGGCAACTTCCACGTGGTTGTTGAGCCTGTAGGTGCACAGAAGTCAAGAATTGAGGTTTGGGAACCTTCACCTAGATTTCAGAGGTTGTATGGAAACCACCTAGATGTCCAGGCAGAAGTTTGCTACAGGGCAGAGCACTCATGGAAAACCTCTACTAGGGCACTGTGGAAGGGAAATGTGTGGTTGGAGCCCCTACACAGAGTCCCCACTGGGGCACTGCATAGTAGAGCTGTGAGAAGAGGGCCATTGTTCTCCAGACCCCAGAATAGTAGATCCACTGACAGATTGTGCTATGTGCCTGGAAAAGCCACAGGCACTCAACACCAGCCCATCAAAGCAACAAGGAGGGGAGCTGTACCCTGCAAAGCCACAGGAGTGGAGCTGCCCAAGGCCATGGGAGCCCACCTCTTGCATCAGCATGACCTGAATGTGAGATATAGAGTTAAAAGAGGTCATTTTGGAACTTTAAGGTTTAATGACTTCCCTATTGGATTTCAGACTTGTGTGGGGCCTATAACCCCTTGGTTTTAGCCAATTTCTTCTGTTTGAAATGGATGTATTTATCCAGTGCCTGTACCCCATTGTATCAAGGAAGTAACTAACTTGCTTTCGATTTTACAGGTTCATAGTTGGAAGAGACTTGCATTGTCTCAGATGAGACTTTGGACTTGGACTTTTGGGTTAATGATGGAATGAGCTAAGACTTTGGGGGACTGTTGGAAAAGCATGATTGTGTTTTGAAATGTGAGGACATGAGACTTGGGAGGGGACAGAGGCAGAATAATATGGTTTGGCTGTGTCCCCACCCAAATTCCATCTTGAATTGTAGTTCCCATAATTCTCACATGTGGTGGGAGGGACCCAGTGGGAGGTAATTTAATCATGGGGGCAGTTCCTCCATGCTGTTCTTATGATAGTGAGTGAGTTCTCACGAGATCTGATAGCTTTATAAGGGGCTTTTACCCCTTTGCTCAGGACTTCTCCTTCCTGCCACCATGCGAAGAAGGATGTGTTTGCTTCCCCTTCCACCATAATTGTAAGTTTCTTGAGGCCTCCCTGGCTATTCTGAACTGTGAGTCAATTAAACCTCTTTCCTTTATAAATTACCTAGTCTCAGATGTGTCTTTATTAACAGCATGAGAATGGACTAATACAAAGATCTAATACTAATTCTACTTTCAAACCATTCCAAAAAATAGAGGAGAAGGCAATACTTCTACACTTATTTTCTGAGTCCAGTATTACCCCGATTCCAAAACCAGACAAGGACACATCAAAAAAAGAAAACTACAGGCCAATATCTCTGCTGAACATTGATCCAAAAATCCTCAACAGAATATAAGCAAACTGAATCCAACAACACATTAAAAAGAATATTCATCATGACCACTGAAATTTATTCAGGGATGCAAGAATGGTTCAACATATGCAAATCAATCAATGTGATACATCATATCAACAGAATTAAGAATAAAAACCATATGAACATTTCAACTGGTGCTGATAAAATTCAACATCACTTCTTGATAAAAACCTTCAAAAAACTGGGTGTAGAAACAACATACTCCAATGCAGTGAAAGCTGACATATGACAGACACATAGCTAGTACCATACTAAAAGGGAAAAAACTGAAAGCCTTTCCTCTAAGATTTGGAACAGGAGAAGGATGCCCACTTTCACCACTGTAATTCATCATAGTACTGGAAGTCCTAGCTAGAGCAATCAAACAGGAGAAATAAATAAAGGGGATTCAAATTGGAAAGGAAGGAGTCAACTTGTTGTTTGCAGATGATATGATCTTATATTTGGTAAAATCTAAAGCCTCCACCAAAAAACCATTAAAACTGATAAACAAATTCAGTAAAGTTGTAGGATACAAAATCAACATACAAAAATCAGTAGCATTTTTATATGCCAACAGCAAACATTCTGAAAAAGAAATCAAGAAAGTAACCTCATTTACAATAGCTACAAATAAATACCTAGGAATTAAACTGAACCAAAGAAGTGAAGATCTCTACAATGAAAACTATGAAACATTGATGAAAGAAATGGAAGAAGACACCAAAAATTGGAAAGATATTCCATGTTTATGGATTAGAAGAATCAATATTGTTTAAATGTCTACACTACCCAAAGAAATTGACAAATTCAATGCAATCTCTATCAAAATACCAATGACATTCTTAACAGAAATAGAAAAAAATCCTAAAGTTTATATGGAACCACAAAAGAACCAGAAGAGCCAAAGCCATCCTGAGCAAAAAGAACAAAACAGCAGGCATCACATTACCTGACTTCAAATTATACTACAGAGCTATAGTAACCAAAACTGCATGGTGGTGGCATAAAAACAGACACATAGACCGATGGAATAGAATCGAGAACTAGGAAATAAATCTATACATCTACAGTGAACTCACTTTTAATAAAGGTGCCAAGAATATACATTAGGATAAAACCAGTCTTAAAAAATGTTGCTGGGCAACTCAATATCCACTTGCAGAAGAATGAAACTAGACCCCTGTCTCTCACCATATTAAAAAATCAAATCAAAATGGATTAAAAACTTAAATCTAAAACTTCAAACTATTAAACTACTAGAAGAAAACACTGCAAAAACTTCAGGACATTGGAGTGAGCAAAGATTTCTTGAGTAATACCCCAGAAGCGCAGGCAACCAAAGCAAAATGGACAAATGGGATCACATTACATTAAAAAGCTTTTGTACAGCAGAGAAGACAATCAACAAAGTGAAGAGACAACCCACAGAATGGGAGAAAATATTTGCAAATTACCCATCCGACAAGGGATTAATAAGCTGAATATATAAGGAGCTCAAACAACTCTATAGGAAAAAATCAAATAATCTGAGTTAAAAAGGGCAAAAGATCTGAATAGAGATTTCTTAAAAGGAGACCTACAAATGGCAAACAGTATATGAAAAAGTGCTTAATATCATTATCAGAGAAATGCAAATCAAAACTACAATGAAATATCATCTCATCCCAGCTAAAATGGCTTTTATCTGAAAATCAGCCAATAACAAATGCTGGCTAGGATGTGGAGAAAAGGAAACCTTCGTATGCTGTTGATGAGAATGTAAATTAGCACAACCACTACGAAGAACAACTTGGAGGTTCCTCAGAAATTTAAAAATAGAGCTACCATACCATCCAGCAACACCCTGCTGGGCACATACCCAAAAGAAAAGAAATCAGTCTCTCTAAAGAATGAGATCCTGTTATTTGCACAGCAACATGGATGGAACTGAAGGTCACTATATTAAGTGAAATAAGACAGCACAGAAAGACAAATGTTGCATGTTCTCACTTATTTCTGGGAGCTGAAAATTAAAACAATTGAACTCATGGAGATAGAGAGTAGAAGGATGGTTACCAGAGCCTGAGAAGGGTAGTGGGGGTGGGAGTGGGAAATGGGGATGGTTTATGGGTACAAAAATATTGTTAGAAAGAATGAATAAGACCTAGTATTTTCTAGCACAACAAGGTGACTATAGTCAAAAATAATTTAATTGTATATTTTAAAAATAACTAAAAGAGTATAATTGGATTGTTTGTAACACAAAGGATAAATGCTTGTGGTGATGAATATCCCATTTACCCTGATGCAATTATTACTTGCTGTATGCCTGTATCAAAATATCCCATGTAACCCATAAATATATACACCTACTATGTACCCACAAAAATTAAAAATTAAAAAAAATTTAAATGAAATAATGCAGGTGGCATCCAGCTATTTGACTTTCCACATGAAGAAGCTGAATAGCAAATTAGGTCAAACTAAGGCTATTAGTACATTTTTGGTGTCTATACCTTTAAAATGGTATTATTGGGCTGGAAGGAGAGTTGCTCTGTTATAAAACCTAGAGTGACTTTATAACAATGATTTGTTTACCTGGGACACATGAGCAAGGCTGGTGCATGCATTCCTGGTCTAGGTACCTGTGCCACAGGTGAATTGAAGGATGTCAGTTATAGACACGTCACCAGAGACTCATAGGCCTTGTTCAACATCTTAGAAGTGTACCCAACTGCTTGGATTATCTCTAGACAAGCTCTGGGTAAGCAGTCAGATCCCAGGCTACCAAAATTCTCTCCACTTTAGTAGAGATAAAAAAGGATAGATTTAGCCAAGATGTCTAAGTTAGACATACCCCCAGTAGTGTTCAGAACCATTCTGTGTTTGGGTGCGGAATGTTAGGTTTCCTGCAGATGCCCATGTATTTCTTCCACTTTCCATTGAAGGTGGGACAATAGAAATACCATGTTTTCCAATTATCTCAAGAACTCATATTACTCATAAATGATAGAAATTGCATAATAAGAGTTACAATTACTTTAGATTACTCTCATACAAATTCTGCAGTTTGGAATAGGGCCAGTCCTGGGGGGGTAGAAGACAACAAGGAGGGTTGGGAGGGTTATGAAAAGCAGAGCCTGTGTGAGAGAGAAAATGTCTCTTGCAGAACCTCTGCAAATTAGCCCTCAAGGGCTGCTACCTCCTGGAGGCAGTAAGCTTGATCCTCTCTTGGGACCATATTTTTCAGGGACAGTGAGTAGACAGTGGCCATAAACTAGACCTAGCAAATGGCATGACGAAGGAAAGAGAGATATACAGCAAATTCTCTGAGCCCTCTCCTTTAGGGCACCTGGAACACTGATCATTCAGGCCAGTGATGGAATTTTAGATCCCAGGAGACAGAAGTTAAGGCAATGCATTCTGATTCCAGAGGGCCAGAGATCTCATTATTAGATAATACACAGGGATTTGGATGGCAATAAATAGCAGTATGGCCAGGGGACTCAGGAACACCTGAATTATGCCTTGACAAATATTCCTTCCCTTCCCTGTCATCACTGGGTCTTCATTCCTGCTTCCTTGACCTGGCTTCCTAACATGTGGCCAGGACATGACACCAGCCAGGGCCTGGCCTTTCAGTTCCTTGAGCCCCACATCTCCAATGACATCCTCCTGCTCACTTAGCACCTCTCCAATGGTCATCCTATACTTTGTCACTACCCAGGGCTGTTCCAGCTGAAGAATAAAATATTCAGATACCACACTCTGTGACCACACCCTTTTGTCTTTCAAGTTTGTTCCTTCTTGACAGTCCCCTGCCATCAAACACTTTTTCTTGAAAATCACCATCCACCAACCCCTCTTCTTTTCATTTCTTTTCTTCCCTTCCCAACTGAGGGGCAATGAGGCACCATTTTAGCCTTTTATCAATATTTTAAACTTCTTTGCCCCTTATGACCCTTCATTATATCCACCTAATAAAATCCCAGCCTTAAATGAATCAGGAATCTGCTGTTTCATGTTAGCAGAACTCTAGAAAAATACCCATAAAATTAAGCAGATTGGTACCACTATAAATTTGTGGTTACCAATTTCAGCAGGGCCCTCAACTCTGACTTTCTGAAAATTATAAATTTATTTAGTAAGATTGTTTTTATATTTACTACATTTTCAACCCTTGTCTATCTTTCTTGAAATGCAAAGTTTCCTACTTTTTCCCTCTCTCTGAGGAAGTGCTCTTATTTCTAGCTCAGTGGGAAAACAGAAGCCATTATAAAGGATGCCTGTTATATAGCCAGACAGCCCCCATACCCATTCTTTCCTTTTTCCCCCTCCTATAAAATCGAGATGTCCATCATCCAATCTGAGGTTATTTTCTCCCAACTCAGCCCCAAATCTCATCCCCTATGGCTTTATCAGGAAAAACGTACACTGCTTACTCTCCCATCCCAGTCTCCCCTATCCCACCTGTCCTGTCTATTGTAGTCAACTTATCCCTTAACCTGATGTCCTGCTCCAGCTACTGCCTACTCCCTGTCTTTCCTTTCTTTAGCAGCCAAATATATCATTGTTAGTTTTAAAAATTATTAAAATTATACTACTGTTTTCTATTATTCCAAAGATAAAAATTAAAATTACTATTATTACATTATATATCATCTATGTTATATGTATAAATATGCTCAGGTTACAAATAGAATGCAAGATTATAAAGTGTCAAATAAATTCTTGGCCTTCCTAACCATTCTTCAAATACATACCCCAGAGATCATCACTATGAGATTATGTAAACAGTATACTTAGATATGTAAGAATTTCTTACACAAATGGGATCATATGATACATGCTGTTCTGAAACAAGCATTTTTCATTTTATACATTTTAGGTATCTTTCCACATCAGTGCATGCAAATCTACCTCATTTTTTCATGACTACATTTCATTTTAGTGGGTTTTTATTGTTCACAGCACTATGCTCAGTGTCTGGCACAGAGTAGGTTCTCTATGAACACTTGGTGGATTAGTAAATTCCAGTGTTTGTAAGCACATCGTATTTAAACCAGTCCCCTGTTGGTAAATGTTTGGGTTGTCTTAAGTTTGTTGCTATTACAAATCAACTTGGCCATGCCCTCTCAGCTGCATCCCCTGTCCTCACATCCTTTTGACTCCCCCTGCCTGTGTTCCTATATCTATGTCTTACCTGTTCCTTTATTGTCTGTTACCATAGGCTCTTCTTCCTGTACTGATTAGCTGAGAAACTGTCCTTGATTGCTAATCACAAGAAATCCAAAAGTAATGAGCATATGTGATTATGCAAGTTTTGCAGGAAATCTCTGTAGTTGCAGTGTGTTAGTCATTAGTGTGGTTCCTCAATGATTCTGATTCTTCTCCTTCCAGGCACATGATAGTGTTGTTCTTCCCTCTTCCTTTTATAGCTCCGTTAAAGTGATTTGCTTTTGGCAGTAAAATGTAAAGTTATGAAGAGCCATGGGATTTTCATATTCCTTCCCCCGAAGCAGAGGCTGTGTGGGTCGCAGGGCAGATCCCAACCCTGCTCCCCAGCAACCCAAGATAGACATGTAGTGTTAACAGGAAATAAAGCTTTATTTATTTATTTATTTATTTATTTATTTTTATTTTTTTATTTTATTTTTATTTATTTATTTATTTATTTATTTTTTTGAGATGGAGTCTTGGTCTGTCACCCAGGCTGGAGTGCAGTGGTGTGATCTTGGCTCACTGCAAGCTCTGCCTCTGGGGTTCATGCCATTCTCCTGCCTCAGCCTCCCCAGTAGCTGGGACTACAGGCACCCACCACCACACCTGGCTAATTTTTTGTATTTTTAGTAAAGGCGGGGTTTCACCATGTTAGCCAGGATGGTCTCGACCTCCTGACCTCGTGATCTGCCCTCCTTGGCCTCCCAAAGTGCTGGGATTACAGGCCTGAGCCACCCTGCCTGGCCAATAACGCTTTATTTTTAAAGCCACTGAGATTTGGGGGTTGTTTGCCATGACAATAAACTTAGTTTTTCCCAACTAATACACTCACAGGGTAGGACCACATCACAAAAGAAGGCATCCTGTGGGGTCCCTCATTCATTCCCCACCCCCCAGGGCTCAGCATGTATATGAACCTTGTACGACCCTTCCTGTCCACATCTGCTCTGAATGACTTCTCCTGAGAAAAAATTTCTCTATCCATTGCTACCTTCTTCTGAAAAAGGATTTTGTTACCCCAACAAATCTGTTATACAATGGCTTTCAGAGAATCTGGAATAAGGCAATTATAAAAGTTATTTTGAAACATACCCTCATTTCCCATATTGCCCCCACTGTGAACCAGTTTTCTGGGGCATTGCATGGAAGGTCCCAGACACCTGTCTTGTTTCCTGCTTCCTTGTTTGGTCTGATTCATTAGAACTGTGGAGGAAATCCTCTTTCTCACCTTTGGAGCCCCTCCCTGACTCATATAAGAGAGAAGCTCCCGGCTGGGTGCGGTGGCTCACACCTGTAATCCCAGAACTTTGGGAGGCCGAGGCGGGCGGATCACGAGGTCAGGAGATCAAGACCACCCTGGCTAACACGGTGAAACCCCATCTGTACTAAAAATACAAAAACAAACAAACAAACAAAAAAAATTAGCCGGGTATGGTGGCGGGTGCCTGTAGTCCCAGCTACTCGGGAGGCTGAGGCAGGAGAATGGCGTGGATCTGGGAGGTGGAGCTTGCAGTGAGCCGAGATTGGGCCACTGCACTCCAGCCTGGGTGACAGAGCGAGACTCTGTCTCAAAAAAAAAAAAAAAAAAAGAAAAAAAGAGAAGCTCCCTGACATCAGAGTGTCTGTAGCAGCATTAGGAAAACAAGCCTCTCTCACACTCCTTTCTATCCTCAGTCAAGTTCTCCATCTCTTCCTAGAAGATTTCTGTCAGCTTTTCTTGAGAACAGTCTACCACAAAGGCTACACTTACTATCACCTCGACAAAACAACAAAAAGTGAACTATTTCACATGTCAAAACCTAGATCAGTTCTTCGTAAGTTGAACCTGTCACACATGTAATGAGCCCTGCAAGACGCCTGGGACTGATAATTTGGGTGCCATTGCAGTTCTTTCTCTACCTTAGCCTATCAAATTGCAAGCAAAGTAGAAGGAAGTTTTTGTTTGGCTTTGCTGCAAAACAATCCCAACATACCATAACATAAAACAACTATTTTTATTGAAAAGGAATTTAGAATGTATTTTGAAGTGAATGAAATTGAAAGTACAACATATTAAAATTTGTGGAATGCCACATGGCAGTTCTCAGAAATTTATGGCAGCAAAGTGTTTATTAGAAAGGAAACAAAGGTCTAAGCCAATTACCTTGGTTTTCATCTTAAGAAACTGGAAAGAAGAGCCAATTAAACCCAAAGTAAGCAGAAGAAATAAAGATCCATGCAGAAAGCAATGAAATAGCAAAGAAAAACGGTAGAGCAAATCAATAAAACAAAAAGCTAATTATCTGAGAAATCAAAAAATATTTATAAAACCTATAGACAGACTGAGCAGGAAGAAAAAAGAGAGAAATGTGAATTATTAATCTCAGGAATGAGAAAAGGAGAAAAGTGGCATTACTACAGATTTTACAGATATTAAAATGTGATAATAAATCAGAATATTAAAAATTAGTAAGGTAAGTAATCCTATATGTTTGTGTGACAATGGAGACAAAATAACTCTTCTACACAGCAAAATTAATTGATACTGCATCTACTTTCTAGGGCATATATACAACAGAAAACCTCAAGCAGTTTTATAAAGAGACATATACAAGGATACTCATCACAAAGTCATTTATAGTAAAGGGAAGCTGGAGGCAACCTAGGTGTTCATCCCAAGGGGAATGGATAAACAAAATATGGAGGATGCATGTATTAGAATACTATGTAGTACTTGGGAGCAAGGAAGGTGAAAAGCATATACACATTCACAATCTGTGTGCACACTAAACGTCATGTATCACACACATTAGAGTAGGTACCTATGGGAGTGGAGAGAGGAAAATGGGGAATGGCAGTCAAGAGATAAGGGAAGAAAGCAGAGAAGGGTTTTTACCTTGACCAAGGATAATAGCCTCTTATGAACTAAGGAATATGATTTACTAAACTCTGCACTGATGTCTAGAGAGAGAGAGAATCACATGAACACTGTTATGTAACTCTTCACCCTTCACAACCACTGAGATATAATAAAATGGAAAAGAAAAACTGTAGGGAGTGAACTTGTATAGAGCACTGACATTATATGACATAGACATTCAAATGAAAATTAGGTCAAACTGATTTTATTAGGTAATTATTTACTTCAGTTAGCCTGCCAAATTCAGAAAAGTAAAATCTTCAGCTGAATTACACTGATATAAATTAATAATTTCACATTCTAAGGTCACATGTGTATTAGCAAGTTTTGCCAAAGTTATTTATTGCCATAAATAATGATACTTAAATGGAGTTGATAAACTGAGGTTTTCTCTCAAGAACTGTATAGAAAAGCAAATCCTTTCTCCATCTTCTTGGGAATAGAGGTATGGTATATTTAAATGATTTTCTCCTTGTCTCTCTCTTGCTTCAGTTTTTCCATCTGTAGAGACAGTTTATGTAACTGTAGGGCCACTATTGAGACCCTGTGACCTGGGAGACGGTGTAAGAGGGTTTTGCCTGCCATGACTATGTCACAGCCTTCAGAGACTTTCTGAAAGAGGAAATCAAAATGAAATGAAATGAAATGAATGGAAAGAGGAAATCAAAGCTTTTCAGGAAGGCTTGTGACAGGAGGATTAGAAGGTAAGGAATGACCCCAGGATGCATGGGCAGGAAACTCCAGAAAAATACTTTGGATCCTAGCAAAATATTTCCCTGAGAGTTGAATCTATATCTGTTCTTAGGCAATAATCAGAATCAGTACAAGCAAAGAGGAGGCTTAAGCTGCAGGGGGATCCAGTTCTACTAATTCACCAGAAAACCACATCAAATAATAGAGAAATACTGAGGCCCAGGGCCAGGGCAACTGTTTAATAAGACTCTGCTGACTTCCTGTAAAACAAATGCAATAAACTTTGCTACCACCACGGATTTATCACAATGCTTCAGGGTAGAAAGAACCAGTACCTGTAAACACCTTATAAATTAACCGCAACAACTGAGACCATCCTTTAGGAGATATTACTACTTTTCCCATTTTATGAACCATCCCATTTTCCTATCATTTATTTTGAGGTATCATATATAAAATTCATTGAATGCATATTATTTATCCTCTTGCACTTGTACACATCCAGACTCCAAGATTTGTTCTCTGAGCAAAAGACACTCTGGGAGCCAAACATCCAATAGCCAGGGTCATATTGGTGGTGACAGTTTCAAGACTGGTATACCAATTCTTCTCCACAGACAGCTTTGCATTTAATATTTCTGGTTTTAGGTACAGAGCTGTAGTCAAAACACATTACCTTAGCATCTTATGAACCTCAGAAAAAACACATTTGGACACTGATAATTAATAAAAGGGATAAGAAATCTTGCTGAATTTTGTCTTTTCTTTCTCCGCTACTCTTGATACCACTGCTATCACCACCCCATCACGTCAACCAGCATTACCACTAGCTGAGTGGTAGCTGTTATTTACTAGCTGATATTTACTGAACACTTGCTAGATGTCAGCCTACGTGTCAAGCGTATTACATGCATTATTTCATGTAAGCCTTCAGCAACCCTGTAGGAGCATATTTGCTGTAGAGATAAGGAAGCTGAGGGATGGAGAAGCTGAATCACACAGCACCTTTTAAGACGCAGAGCCAAGATGTGAACCCAGGGCATCTAATTCCAGTTTCTGAGCTCTCTCTTTCTATGCAACAGGACTTCTCTTCTTGCCTCGGTTTTCCCCTGTGTAAAATAAAAGCAGTGATGATGACTTAGCTCCTGGAATTGTTCTGGGTAAAATAATGTAAATAACCTTTTAAGAAATATTTTGCTTATTCTGTCATAACAGTCATTTGACCAACAGTGGGGTCAACCCCATAGGTCAACTATCTCACGAAAGGTTTTGGACTACATATAAACTGGGGAGTAATGGTGCTATTTCTTGGATATTTGAAATTGAACCATGACCCACCTCACTCAGACTCAAGCACTGACCCATGGCAACTGCCTCTGGCTGGGAGGAACACTTCCCTCCAAGTCACTTCTGAGCCACTCTGTAGTGGTTAGCTGCTCAGCACTATTTTGGCTGGGGAGTTTGGATTCCCGTTGCGTTGAGAAGCTAGAGATGAACAACCTGCAAACCTGCAGATGTTAGCTGCTCCAGTCAGAGCATATCCTTGCTTGCATTCACACTGCATTAGAGTGCTGAGTGAGGAATTCACTAATATTTTCATAGTGTCAGTGTGTAATCCGGGGAAGCGAATTGCAAACTTGGATAGTGAGAGAGACAGAGGGCAGAGGGGAGAAGGGGAGGAAGAGACGGAGAGGGAGGGAGAGAGAAAGAGGGTGTTTTCTTCTGATTCATTAAAGAAAGCAGCACAGAACTAAAGGGATTTATTGGAAGACTTTTATGCTTCCCAATCAATGCCATTGCCAATAAAATAACATGACATAATTCACAAAGGGGATGCCTTCCCTCACATTACCATGTGGCTAAGAATTAAGGAAAGTGGGTATGTGTATAAGTATTTGGAGGAAGCAGAATTGACTTCTCACCTTCTATAGAACTATTTCTTTCAATAATTTAAAATATTTTAAAAATGTAAGCCGGGCTCAGTGACTCATGCCTGTAATCCTAGCATTTTGGGAGGCCAAGGCAGGCAGATCACTTGAGGCCAGGAGTTGGAGACCAGCCTGGCCGACATGGTGAAACCCCATCTTTACTAAAATACAAAAATTACTCGGCATGGTGGCACTTGCCTGTAATTCCAGCTACTTGGGAGGCTGAGGCATGAGAATCACTTGAACCTGGGAGGCAGAGGTTGCAATGAGCTGAGATCCTACCACTGCACTCCAGCCTGGGTGGGCAACGGAGCGAGACCCTGTCTCTAAATAAATAAGTAAATAAAAACGTATGTATAAATGCTTACTATAATTTGTCAGGTAATGTTTTAACCATTTAACAAATATAAACTCCCCCAACAACCACATGAGATAGGCATTATTATTATCCTCATTTTACAAATGACAAAACAGAACCACAGAGAGGTAAATCTACTTGCCCAAAGTCACACAGCTAGTGAGGAGCAGTCAGTTTAGTTTTGCTCCACGTGGTCTGTGTTCTTTACAACTTGCTGCCTGTGCTACTTGAGGGCAATGAAGGACCTTTAGACATAAAGTCAGCAGCAGAGGAGACTTTTTTTTAACTGAAGTTATTTGAGAAGTGTTTTGTGATAAAGAGACATTGCCCTGTGAAAACTTGCAAGAACTGCACAAACTCAGAATCTGCAAGCACTTCCCTACGTACCAACCTCAACAATACCCTGTGTTTTGCATTTATAGAAAACAATTTGCAGTGGCTCACGCCTGTAATCCCAGCACTTTGGGAGGCTGAGGCGGGCAGATGACGAGGTCAGGAGATCGAGACCATCCTGGCTAACACGGTGAAACCCCGTCTCACTAAAAATACACTAAAATTAGCTGGGTTTGGTGGCGGGCGCCTGTAGTCCCAGCTACTCGGGAGGCTGAGGCAGGAGAATGGCGTGAACCCAGAAGGCGGAGCTTGCAGTGAGCTGAGATCATGCCACTGCACTCCAGCCTGGGCGACAGAGCGAGACTCTGTCTCAAAACAAACAAACAAACAAACAAAAATTTTAAGGAAAAAAATTTAAGTATTTGAATAATGAAAATTACTTACCAAACTGCAAAAATAAAACCTTGTATTTATATAATGTTTTATGGTTTACAGAGAACTTTTACACATACCTTATAAATGTAGGTTCTAGTTCGTTTTCTCAGAATTTGTGACAACAATAAAAATTTCACTTTTGCTTTCTGGATGGTAAAATGTGACAGCCAATTGTTAAACAAAAATACAGCAGGTGATAATGAACTCATTTAAGAGGTAAAGGAATTTTAAGCACTTTTGTATTTATATTTATATGTAAGGAAGCGAAGCTGCCTGCACTTCATCTTTATCTGTTTACTAGGGTAGATCCCCAGGAATATACACAAACCAAGTTTTTTTAATCCCCTAGTAATGGTATTAGCATATACTTAAAAGTATTAAAACTTAAAAAAATTGTAGTTAAACATTCCTTAAATAAAATGGAAGTTAATAAACAATTTATTATACCATTAATAAAATAATTAATTTGTTAATAAACAACATTAATAAAATAATTTATTATGCCTCCCACAAATTGGTGTAAATTACTACAATTTGACCATACTTATAAAATTCCTAACATGGAATAAATATCTTTGCAATTGATTGATGTAAACTACCTTCCTTTCATTGATTGTGCACTTTACCCAGGCTTTCCTGGGGCCCTGTGCACTAGGAATGCCTGGCTCACGGTGTAGGCTGGATAGGCATGAGATACAGGGATGGGAGGGTGGTTTGCTCCCTGACGCAGGCCTCATGGTACATGTTGACCTGCACTGACAGAAGCCCGAAGGTCACAGATTCCACCTAGAAACAACTAAAGGAAAGAGAGAGAACTAGCAGCAGCCTCTGCCAAACTGGAGGTCAGCTGTCCAATAGCCAGTAGCAGCTACACCCTGGGGCAAAGTCAGGTCAAGACCAAGCTCTGCATTAAGGAAGAGCTCAGGGCAAGAGGGTGGAATCAGGGTTCCTAGAATCAACTGAGTCAAAGGACACTCAAAACTTCAATTTTAGCATCAGGGGCTCTGATGCAAGGAGTAAGTAACCTTGTGGAACTCTGAAGCCATTTAGCAATAGAACCCTAATCTTTTCCTTACAGGATAGGAGCTGTACTTAAAAGAGATTGTTATCTAGGAATGTAAGTAATTCATTTTTGAGTGAAAAAACAAATAAGGGATGGAAAAAAAGGACTTTGGTTCAGAGTGGGCAGGCTCAGTCACCCTTAAAGCAAACCTTGAGTGTGATAAGTCTGAGTGTGAGATCCACTCGAGTCAGGAAATCACAGCGTGAGAGAAAGCCATCCTGAGCAGCACTGCCTACTTAGGACAAGGTGTGGCTTCAGTTATGAATTTGGACTGCCAACAGAAGGATGAAATTAAAAAACAAACAAAACAAAATTGATGAGGAAAGTTACATTTCCTTCCAAAAGTTCTAAAGCCTGAGGGGGAAAGAGAAATACGGAAAAAAAAAAAAAAAAACCTCAAGAATACAGACAGGCCTGACAAAATTACTCAGACAATATTTGAGTGGGACATTCCTTTTTGTTTTTCCTGATTTACCTAAGTCACCTAATGAGTCACACTTTGGTGCCATTCTGGTCTGTTAAAAGAGGGAAATGTGGTGCCTGAAGCACTGAAAAGCATGCAGGAGCATGTGGCTGCAAGTGGGAACATACACAGACAGCAAGATTCCATCAGACCTGAAGAATGCTTGCATGGTTTTCAATCAGCCAAAAGCCACACTCAGCCTGGTGTTATGTCTCTGAAAAAAGGCAGTAAAAGATAAGCTGTTTATGTACATAATTATAATTCATGGGAAATAATACTTGAATAATAATATAATAATAATAAATATGCTGATTTTTACTACAAGAAGATGAGTTTTGGGAAAGGCCTGAAAATGACCTGCCTACCTAGTTCAGCTGCAAAGACTGTTACAGGAGTTCAAAATCCAAAGCACTTAGTTCTCATTTACCAAAAGTAACTCGGTAAATTATGATGTAACATTTATTACAGCATGATTAAATTTTAACCTCCCTAAAAAGAAGGAAAGCACATAAGTTCGTCATGAATTGACTTAACTTTAGAAGAGACTCTAAGACAATAACTGAATATTAGTTAGAAAAAACAAGGAATTTAGAGCGTTCGTTAGATGACTCTTTTACCTATTAGGCACCTCTATGTTCTAAGCACTTTCCATAAATGATCACATTTAGTCTTATGACAGCCTATGGTTTTTTAAAATCACCTTTCCAGAAAAGTGTAGGTGACATTTGGCCAAAACTTTACAGATAATAGGTGCCTGAGCCTCATTACCTGAGCCTTGTTATCACCTTCTCCCGCATGCTTTTCAGTGCTTCAGGCACCACACTTCCCTCTTTCAACAGATCAGAATGGCACCAAGTGTGACTTATTAGGTGACTTAGGTAAATCAGGAAAAACCACAAGGAATGTCCCACTCAAATATTGTCTGAGTAATTTTGTCAGGCCTGTCTGTACCCAAATAAGTGGTTCAGCCACTTATCTGTAAAGTTTTAGCCACTTATTTGGTTCACGAATCTGAATCAAATCTGTGCTTTCCACTAAAACCTAGTGCTTTTACCTTTCTTGCTTTTTTAAAAATGTTGGAATTATTTATTTTTGTGGGTACATAGTAGGTATATTTATTTATAGGGTACATGAAGTGTTTTGATACAGGCATGCAATATGTAATAATTACATCATGGAGAATGGGGTGTCCATCCCCTCAAGCGTTTATCCTTTTTGTGACAGACAATCCAATTATACTCTTTTAGTTATTTTTAAATGTACAACTAAATTATTATTGACTATAGTCACTCTGTTGTGATATCAAATACTAGGTCTTATTCATTCATTCATTCTATTTTTTTGTACCAATTAACCATCCCCACATCCCCCACCAGCTCACCCCCGATACCCTTCCTAGCCTCTGGTAATCATCCTTCTACACTCTCTATCTCCATGAGTTCAATTGTTTTGATTTTTTAGATCCCACAAAGAAGTGAGAACATGTGATGTTTGTCTTTTTGTGCCTGGCTCATTTCACTTAACATAATGACCTCCAGTTCTATCCATGTTGTTGCAAATAACAGGATCTTATTCTTGTTTACAGTTGAATAATACTCCATTGTGTATATGTGCCACATTTCAATAGATCCTTTCATCTGTTGATGGGCACTTAGGTTCTTCCCAAATCTTGGATATTGTGAAGAGGACTGCAAAAAAAACATACATGGGATTACAGATATCTCTTCAATATACTGATTTCCTTTCTTTGGGGTATATACCCAGCAGCGGGACTGCTGGATCATATGGTAGCTCTACTTTTAGAGGAGCCTCCAAACTGTTCTCCGTGGTGGTTGTGCTAATCTGCATTCCCACCTACAGTGAACTAGGGTTTCCTTTTCTCTACATCCTCACCAGCATTTATTATTGCCTATCTTTTGGATAAAAGCCATTTTAACTGGCGATGATAGCTCATTTTAGTTTTGATTCACATTTTTCTGATGATCTGTAATGTTAAGTACCTTTTCATATGCCTCTTTGCCATTTGTATCTTCTTTTGAGAAATGTCTATTCAAACCTTTTTGCCCATCTTTTTATCAGATTATGAAATTTTTTTCCTGTAGAGTTGTTTGAGCTCCTTATATATTCTAGTTATTAATCCCATGGCAGATCGGTAGTTTGCAAATATTTTCTCCCATTCTGTGGCTTGTCTGTTTTGTTTGCTGTGCAGAAGGTTTTTAATGTAATATGATCCCATTTGTCCATTTTTGCTTTGGTTGCCTGTTCTTTTCGGGTATTACTCAAGAAATTTTTGCCCAGACCAATGTCCTGGAGATTTTCCCTGATGTTTCCTTGCAGTGAAATAATTTGAGGTCTTAGATTTAAGTTTTTAATCCATTTCTATTTGATCTTTGTATACGCTGAGAGATAGGGGTCTAGTTTCATTCTTTTGCAAATGGATATCCAGTTTTTCCATCACCATTTACTGACGAAACTGTCTTCCTCAGTGTATGTTCTTGGCACCTTTGTTGAAAATGAGTTCACTGTAGGTCCGTGGATTTGTTTCTGGGTTCTCTTTTCTCTTCCATTGGTCTATGTGTCTGTTTTTATGCCAGTACCATGCTGTTTGGGTTACTATCAGTCTGTAGTATAATTTGAAATCAGGTAATATGATTTCTCCATTTTTTTTTTTTTTTTTTTTTTTGCTTAGGATAGCCATGGCTCTTCTGGGTCTTTTGTGGTTTCATATAAATTTTAGGATAGTTTTTTTCTATTTCTATGAAGAATGTCATTGGTATTTTGATAGGAATTGCACTGCATCTGTTGATTGCTTTGGATAGTATGAACTTTTTAAAAATATTGATTCTTCTAGTCCGTGAACATGGAATATGTTTCCATTTTTTGATGTCTTCTTCAAATTTTTTTATCAGTGTTTTTATAATTTTCATTGTAAAGATCTTTTACTTCTTAGGTTAATTCCTAGGCATTTAATTTTGTTTGTGGCTATTGTAAATGGAATTACTTTTTTATTTCTTTTTCAGATTGATTGTTTACTGTTGGCATATAGAAATGTTACTGATTCTTGTATGTGAATTTTGTATCCTGCAATTTTACTGAATTTGTTTATCAGTTCTAATAGTTTTTTGGTGGAGGCTTTAGATTTTTCCAAATATAAGATCACGTCATCTGCAAATCATTATAATTTGACTCTTCCTTTCCAATTTTGATGCCCTTTATGTCTTTCTCTTGTCTAATTGCTCTAGCTAGGACTTCCAGTACTATGTTGAATTACAGTGGTTAAAGTGGGAGTCCTTGTCATGTCCCAGATCTTAGAGGGAAGGCTCTTAGTTTTTCCCCATTTAATATGATACTAATTGTGGGTCTGTCATATATGGCTTTTATTATATTGAGGTATCTTCCTTCTATACCTAGTTTTTTTAGGTTTTTTTTTTTATCATGAAGGGATGTTGAATTTTATCAAGTGCCTTTTCAGCAACAATTGAAATGATCATATGGTTTTTGTCCTTCATTCTGTTGATGTGATGTATCACACTGATTGATTTGCATTATGTTGAACCATCCTTTCATCCCTGGAATAAATCCTGCTTGGTCATGATGAATGATCTTTTTAATGTATTGCTGAATTCAATTTGCTAGTATTTCGTTCAGGATTTTTGCATCAATATTCATTGGAGTTATTGCCCTGTAGTTTTCTTTTTTCTTTCTTTTTTCTTTTTTTTCTTTTTTTGACGTGTCTCTTTCAGGGTTTGGTATCAAGGTAATATTGGCCTCCTAGAATGAATTTAGAAGTATTCTGTCCTCTACTTTTTGGAATAATTTGAGTATGAGTGGTATTAACATTTCTTTAAATGTTGGTAGATTTCAGCAGTGAAGCCATTAGGTCCTTGGCTTTTCTTTACTGGAAGACTTTTTATTATGGCTTCAATCTCATTAATTTAAAATCTAGTACTTTTAAAATAATGTAAATAACTGTCACAGAAAACTAGGTAATTAGGTAGAGACAAAGAAGATAAGAAATGGGGTTAATATCTAGAAAGCAGAGATACTATTTCCTTCCCCCCAAGTCATCACAAAAGGAAATAATTAAGAGCTATGAAATAATAAACAAATATTAACATTGATATAATCCACTGATATTATTCAAATTTCTCACTTTATTTGTATTCTTGTTTGTTTGCATGTGCATTCAGTTCTACACAGTTTTATCACATATGTTGATTGGTGTATCCACCATCACAGTCAAGATACAGAAGAATTCCATCAACACAAGGATTACCCATGTTGCCTTTTTATAACGCACTCACCTCCCTCATGCCCATCCCCCTCACCTCTAATTCTGACAGCCACTAATCTGGTTTTGATATCTAAAATTTTGTCATTTTCAACAATGTTATATAAATGGAATTATACAGTGTGTAAACTTAGAGTATATAAACTTTCTGGATTATATGTTTTTTATTCAGCATAATTCCTATGACATTCATTTAAGATTTTATATGTGTCAATCATCCATTTTTTTTCTTTTTTACTGCCAAATAGTACTCCATAGTATGGGGTATGGGTGTACCAGAGTACTTTTTTTTTTTTTTTTGAGAGGGAGTCTTGCTCTGTCCCTGAGGCTGGAGTGCAGTGGCGTGATCTCAGGTCACTGCAACCTTCGCCTCGTGGGTTTTAAGCAATTCTCTGCCTCAGCCTCCCGAGTAGCTGGGATTACAGGCATGTGCCACCACACCCAGCTAATTTTTGTATTTTTAGTAGAGACTGGAGATTTCACCATCTTGGCCAGGCTGGTCTTGAACTCCTGACCTCGTGATCCACCCACCTTGGCCTCCCAAAGTGCTGGGATTACAGGTGTGAGCCACCACACCCCACCCTGGAGTACTTTTAACGAGATCCAATTTATCAATTTTTCCATTTAATGGAGTGCGCTTTCGGTGTCAAATCTAAACAATCTTTGCCTACCCCTATGCTATTTCCCAAGATTTTGTAAGTGCTATAGTTTTATACTTTACACTTAAATCTTAGATCTCATAGATTTTTCTCATGTGTTTTTTTTCTTTTTCTAGTTTTATGTTTCAAATTTAAGTCCAGGATTTATTTTGAGTTAATTTTTATATAAGGTATGAGGTTTACATCAAGATTTATTTATTTATTTGCCTGTAGATGTTCAGTTGTTCTCAAAAATGCTATCCTTTCTCCTTTGATTTACATTTGCACCTTCATAAAAAATTGGTTGTACATGTTTGTGTGTAGATGTATTTTTAAGCGTCTAATATGAACTAATCATTGAACAAATATCTCTTGAGCCCCTACGATGAGCCAAGCAATATTCTAGGTGCTGGGAATGCCACACTACCCAAAGCAGACAAAAAATGCCATACTCAAGGAGCTTATAGTCTAGTGAGAAAAATAAATATAAACCAGATAAATAAATATATACAAGGTCAGAGAAAGAAGTAGCATGACGAAAAATAACACAGAGTAATGTGCTGGGTGGTAAGGTGTGAGGTGGGATGGGCAGCACACGTTAGATGATATGGTCAAGGAAGGCTTCTCTGAATAAGTTACATTCGAGTAAAGGCCTGAATTGAGTGAGGGAGTGAGCCATGAAAATACCAAGGAGAAAAGTTTTGTCTGAAGAGGGAACATCATGTTCTGCAAGCTCAAAAGACTGAATATGGGTAAGAGGATGAAGACTTCAATTTTCAGTATAGCTGTGTAAGTGTCTACTGGTCCCACCCTCCCACAGATAGCAATTCTAAACTCTGAATAAAATACGGAAGAAAACAACAAAAATCCTACCTTAGGGAACCAGAAAGTGAACAAAAGCAGATACATTCTAAAGGAGCAATAAGTCTTAGAAGAAGGGGACACCATAGATCAAACTTCCCATTTGTTATGCCTTTTAGCCTGAGAGAATATCAAAGTTGACATGATGTGGCATGGCTAAAACTCTGAGACAAAACCAAGTCTTCCTGGTTTGAAAAAAACAGAGCTTTGGGCAGCAACAGCCACTAGAAAATTATGGGAGTCATAAAAATTAAAGAACCAAAGAGAAGAGCCCATCCTGTGTATAAACTCTGCCCAAATCTCTGGCTGATCTCTGAATCACCCATGAGCAGGACAGACTAAAAACAGAGCAGCTAAGGATAAAAGAAGTAAACTGAGATTTGGGCTGCTCCAGAGAGAGAGAGTTTTCAGGTTGGATGCAAGTAAGTTAGTTGTCTGTTTAAATGAAAAACAAAAAATAGTACAAACAAAAATAACTTTCTTTTTGGGGAGAATATAATAGAATCCATTTATAATGTCCAGGATACAATTCAAAATTACTGGACATATGAAGAAACTAGAAAATCTGAACTCCAGTTAAGGGAAAGGAAAGTCAATGGTGACTGTCTTTAAGATGATACAAATGTTGGAATTAGCAGGCAAGTTTTTTAAAACAGCCATTATAAATATGCTCAGTGATGTAAAGGTATATATGCTTGGTAATGAATAGGTAGATAAGAAATCTCAGTAGAAAATAAAATATTAAAAAGCATTGGCCAGGCACAGCCTGTAATCCCAGCACTTTGAGAGGCCGAGGCAGGTGGATCACGAGGTCAGGAGATAGAGACCATCCTGGCTAACATGGTGAAACCCCGTGTCTACTAAAAATACAAAAAATTAGCCAGGCATGGTGGCATGCACCTGTAGTCCCAGCTACTCTGAAGGCTGAGGCAGGAGAATCACTTGAACCTGGGAGGCGGAGGTTGCAGTAAGCCGAGATCGCGCCACTGTATTCCAGCCTGGGCTACAGAGCGAGACTCTATCTCAAAAAAAAAAAAAAAAAAAAAAGGCATCAAAACATTCTACAACTAAAACGTACCCTCTGAAATAAGAATGTCACTGGAGGAACTTGGCAGTTGAATGGAAATGAAAGGAAAGAGCCAATGAACTTAAGGATAAATCAACAGAAATTGTCCAGTCTGAAGTAGAGAAAGATAAAACATTTATATAAAAAACAGAGCCTCAGGACTTATAAGACAATATCAGATAACCAAATAAACATGTCATTGGAGTTCCATAATAGGAAAAAGAGAATGAAGTAGTAAAATTATCTGAAAAAATAGATTTCTCAAACTTGAGAAAAGAGGTACATTTACAGGTTCAAGGTGTTCAGTGAAACTCAAGCTGAACAAATATGAAGAAAACCATGCCTAGGCACATTATAGTCAAACTGCTGAAAACCAAAAATAAAGAGGAAATCTTAAAAGCATCCAGGAAAAAGACAGTGCTTACATACAGGGAATACTTTGAATAACTGCTGACTTCTCTTCAGAAATGACAGAAGTCAGAAAATAATATATAAAATTAGTCTTTGAGAAAAAACTAATCAAGAATTCTGAGTAGAGGAACAACCACTTGAGCTCTCCATGACTGCTATGAGGAGGTAAGAGAAGAAGCCTAAAGCCAGAAGCCTATTGTAGTAATCTAGTCCAGAAGTGATGGTGTTTTAGGCCAGGGTGATAGTGTAAATGTGATTAGAAATGACAGAATTGGGGATATATTTAGATTATGTCACTGATTTCTATAGTCATTTCTTTGCATAGGCTCTCAACCTCCTGTTTAAAAATCATTCTTGAACATGCTTGTTTGAAAGATTTCTAACCCTTCTTGGTAAAACGAGACGTGAAGAATAATGGAAGTACAAGAGTCAAAGGACTGGATGAAGATCCATTTTGGGTCAAATAATAGTTGGAACTGGGGTAAATGAAATTTTAAAAATAGACCTATATTGTAGAAATTATCCCATAATTCTAACACAAACATTTTTCCATTCTCTCGAAAACATTTCAAAGTAAGAAGGAAATGAATTAAATGACTGATTAGATATAAGGAAAAGAGAAGATGTGAAGAAACTGTGGTTTTCCGGCTTGAAGACATTGGTTCAATTTAAGAAACACATAATGACTCAAGTACAGAGAATAAATATAGGGTAGGCCTTAATGGGCTATCAGTCTGATGTCAAGAGACATTTGAGTAACTACCCAGTGTTAGGTAAGGAGTGTACTGGGTGTGGGCTATATCAGCCAGGAAAGCTGAGTCATTACACCTGAAGTCATATATCGATGAGGTACACGTGACCTGGCTGAGTTGGCTTAGCCTATATCAAAAGCAGCCCGTGTCTAGAATTGCTCTAGTCTTATAAGGCAATGCTTAGAAGGGAATATTTGCATTTCCAAAGTTCTCATGAGGCTCTCACTCATTCAGATAAAATCATCTCAACTGTGAATCTGCTGTGAAGATTTTGAAAGCTGGAAACTTGCCTGGAAACTAATCTGGAAAATGTGACTAATCTCTCTGCCTGTATCCAGACCTTGATAATGTCCTCCCATATTTCTGTATCTTTTGATTTACCCAAGCATCTGATGTCCGCATCCATCAGAGCCTCCTCTTGACGTTTGTCAATACTATAAATACTATCATTGCATAGACATTGGGATTCATGCAAGACCCCATGCCCGTTATAGCCAAGTCTCTGTGAGGAAACAGGACAATGAAGGGGAGAGATGTGATACTATGAGATAGCTAAAGCCCGTGGATTAGTCTGTTCTCGCACTGCTATAAAGAAATACTTGAGACCGGCCGGGCGCGGTGACTCATGCCTGTAATCCCAGCACTTTGGGAGGCCGAGGTGGGCAGATCATGAGGTCAGGAGATTGAGACCATCCTGGCTAACGTGGTGAAACCCCGTCTCTACTAAAAATACAAAAAATTAGCCGGGCGTAGTGGCGGGCGCCTGTAGTCCCAGCTACTTGGGAGGCTGAGGCAGGAGAATGGCGTGAACCCGGGAGGCGGAGCTTACAGTGAGCCGAGATCCCGCCACTGCACTCCAGCCTGGGCGACAGAGCGAGACTCCGTCTCAAAAAAAAAAAAAAAAAAAAAAAAATTAGCCAGGTGTGGTGGCAGGTGCCTGTAGTCCCAGCTACTCGGGAGGCTGAGGCAGGAGAATGGTGTGAACCCAGAAGGCAGAGCTTGCCGTGAGCCGAGATCGCACCACTGCACTCCAGCCTGGGCAGCAGAGGGAAACTCTGTCACAAAAAAAAAAAAAAAAAAAAAAAGAAAGAAAAAACTTGAGGCTGGGTAATTTACAAATAAAAGAGGTTTAATTGGCTCACAGTCCACAGGCTGTGTAGGAAGCACTGCTGAGAGAGCCTCAGAAAACTTTCAGTCATGGTGGAAGGCAAAGGGGACACAAATCCAAACCATATCACTTTGAGAGGCATGATAGAAGTAGACCTTACCAATGGGGCATGAAAACTATACCTTTAGCTTCCAAGAATCTGGTCCAGAGAAATAGTATTGGAATAATATAGACAAAAAACCAACAAAATCTAACACCTAGGTTATTCTTTCCTGCAGGGAGCCAAAACAGTGTAGATGAAACTTACAGATTCTGGGACTTATTCACATTTTCCACCTAACTGGGGACAGAGTAACCTTGGGGATATCAGGTGTAGTTGTAAACAAAAAAAAAATGTGGCCAATATAAGCACTGAAAAGATGAATCCTGTTGTGAGGAATATAGCAATTTCTCCTATATCTGACTGCATTATGGGTAAGGATATTCTACGTCAATGGGAAGACCAGCCATTACCCCGCCCCGAGATCAGTGGGGTATAGAAAACCCTTGGTCAGGTGCAATGGCTCACGCCTGTAATGCGAGCACTTTGGGAGGCCGAGGCAGGCAGATCATTTGAGGTCAGGAGTTTGAGACCAGCCTGGCCAACATGGTGAAACCCTGTCTCTACTAAAAATGCAAAAATTAGGCAGGTGTGGTGGCACGTGCCTGTAATCCCAGCTACTTGGGAGGCTGAGGCAGGAGAATCGCTTGAACCCAGGAGGCAGAGGTTGCAGTGAGCTGAGATTGCACCACCGCACTCCAGTCTGGGCTACAGAGTGAGACTCTGTCTCAAAAAAAAAGAAAAAAAAGAAGACTCACCTTCTTTACAATTTTTAATTTAATTTTTATTGAAGAATATTTTACATGCAAAAAAGCACATCGTCTCAAATGCAGAGCTAGTTGACTTTTCACACACTGAACATACCCATGTAACATCACCCAGATGAAGAAACAAAACATTACCAGGACTTCCAAAGCCTTCCTCATACCCCCATCCCGGGGGAAATTGCTATTTTGACTTAAACACTATGAATTACTTTTGCCTGTTTTTATACATTACATACATGAAACAAAACAGTATGTACATCTTTTGTATCTGGCATCTTTCACTAAACACTTTCTGTTTTGAAATTCATCTGTATAATCATTCATTTCATTGTTGCGGTATATTTCGTCATATGATGTATCACCATTAATTTATCCTCTACTACTCATGAGCATTTTGATCATTTCAAGTTTGGGGTTATTGTAAATAGGGCTGCTATAAACATTCTAGCACATGTCCATAGGTGAATAGATACGGATGCATTTTTGAGAGGTAATCTCTAGGGGTAGAATTGCTGGATCATAGAGTAGACATATGTTCAGCTTAGTTGCCAAAGAATTTTGTAAGGCAGTTGGACCAATTTATACTTTCACCAGCAGGTTTTCAGAGTTACGGTTGGAATACATTTTTACTAATACTTGATATTTTATCATTTTAGCTATTCTTCTGAGTATGAATTCTGAAATTGTACTTTGTGTTTGATTTTAATTTACCTAATGACTAATGAAGTTAACCAAGTTTTCTTATGTCTATAAACCAATTGGATATCATTTTTTGTGAAGGTTCTTCAGGTCTTTTTCCATTCTCTTGGTGGGTTGATTATCTTTTTAAATTTATTTGTAAAAGTTCTTTATATTTGGGGGGCACAAGCCCTTAGTTTGACATGAGCTTTGCAAATAGTGCTTTCCAGATTGTAGCTTGCCTTTCACTCTCTTACTGGTGTCCATATCAGTGTTCTAGGGCTGCCATGACAAAATATCAAAGACTAGGGGGATTAAACAACAGAGTTTTGGTTTTTCTTATTCTCACAGTTCTGGGGCAGGGAGTCTGGGATCAAGGTATGAGCATGCTTGTTTTCTTCCGAGCCTCTCTCCTTGGCTTGCAGATGGCCAAGCCATCTTGAATGGCTTGAATAACTTTCAAGCTTGTTATTATTGGGTGAAAGGGATATCAAACAAAACCAAATATCCCTTAAGTATAAAGTGGAAACAAGAAGTTACTCTAGAGAAATACTAGTAATCAGAATGGAGGAGACTCAGAAGAAGATGGCATATTTGATCTGATACAGGTCAGGAAGAGTAGGAAATGAAAATGTAGGGTAAAGATATTTCAGATAAAGGATGCAAGTATGTGTTTTTTGAGGACAACATATACAATAAAGTAGAAAAGTAAGTTAATCTGAGAAACATCAGAAAATGACTTACAGAGAGCCCTAATTTTTCATTACTCAGAAATCAAAGTAAAAACAAAGATAATTTGATTTTTGATAGGTAATTATTTATTCAGCCAGTCCACCAAATCCAGGAAAGCAGGAACTTAAACTGAACTAAGACAAAAATTATGAATTGTTTCATGTGATCGGTGCCACTAAGAATATTAGTGAATTCTCCTAAACACAGATATTTTTCCCCAGTAAATAATAGTACTTGAGAAACACAGAATTGCTAAAGAGAGAAATATAACTGCTTCTCTGTTTTGTGGGGAAAGGGAAGGAAAATCCTTCCTAACTGGTTTCTAACTGGCATTGTTCGTCTTCAAGTCTCACACGTGTTCCAGTCGTTTAATCTCCAGAGACAGCTTTTACACCTCCAGGGTCATTTTCGAATCCTCTGGGTGTGGGAGACACTGCATGAGCTTTCTACCCGTGAGCACTTGCTCACAACCTTCAGAGATTACCTAAATGAAATAAAGCGATAGTTTTTGAGAGGCTTCTCTCCAAATGAAATCCGAATATGTAAGATTTCTTCTGGATGTATCACTGATGACCACAAAACCGGAATGTCAAAACCCTCCTCAGGACAGATGAATAAAATCCCAAAGAAACTAGGGTCTCAGCAAAGTATTCTCCCTCGGCCGTCAGGCAGCAATCAGTAGCTGGTGAAGCAGGGAAGGAACAACGCTGCAGACAACACCCAGGGGGCCTCGTTAGGGGCGACAGAAGGGACAATTCTGATGGGCCCATCTGAAATGAAGCAAAAGCATAGCATTTATTATAGAAAGTATGAGGCTGGGGGTCAAGTCAGCTGGATCTATGAGACCTTCCTATCTAGGGGTGTGGTCCTTCTTGAGCTTACCTTAACAAGTACACCAAAGTGCTTCAAAGGTGACGGTGCTAATTCTGTAAGTGATGTGCCCGAAATAAATCTTGCCAAAAGTCAGATCTCGCTGGTGTTGGCTAGGACAGTGCTCTGGAGGAGACTATCATTTTTAGAATGGGATAGGATGCCCTGAAATGTGTGCCACTTACCCACTCACAACTGGGCACCTCTGGGTGCCTGCCATGTTCTGTGCTCTGATCAAGTGATATTTTGAGGACCAACCAAAGTGATATTTTGAGGACCAACCACTTTATAGCCAGAGTCACACTGGATGGTGACATTTTCAAGTTCAACATACAGATCCTTACCCAGACAGCTTTCCATTTTCTGTCTCTGGTTTCAGACACAGAGCTATAATGGAAACACAATTTTGATCATCCTATGATTCTCAGAATAAGATCTTATAATAGTAAGAATATTGAGAGTTATGAAACATTGATAAATTATACCTGGATGGGATGCTGAGAGTTGTTCTTTACCTCCATTTATTTATGATTATAACAATAAGATTAATAATAATGCTAATAATGTTATTGCACATACTATATGTCAATGTAAGTACTAATGCAAAACATTATTACCTCCATTTTGCTAAAGAGAAAAATTAGGTACAGATAGTTTGTGTGACTTGTCTAATATTGCATAGCCTTTGGGTGGCATGATTATGATGTAAACCTAGTCACTGCGGTCCTAGAGTCAGAGTTTTCAAAATTAGTACAGTATTTCCAAACCTTGATCTTTTCATGGTCCTAAGTATATAATTTTTATTCTCATATTCTTAATATCTTGCTGTGTTAAATGGAGACAGTGTGGGGAATTAGCTCCTTGAGTTGCTATTAATAGATTAGTTAAAAAAAAAAAAAAAGGTTGACCCTATCCTTGTGGTTGACCAAAAATCTCCTATCAGGTCAACTTCATTATGAGAAGGTGGGAGCATGCATGGTTTCTAATGGAGACATCGAATACTTCAAAGATGTTGGGAATTTACCCACAGGATTCCTCATTTAAACTTAAGTAGATGCCCACTAAAATTTTGCCAAATCCTCACTGATACTCTCAAATTAAAAATTGTATCTCTAAGTCCACTAACAGAACCCTGTATATACAGACACTTGAATTATAACAAAGGTCACACTGCAGAGTTGTGTGGAAAGTATAGTTTATTAAATAAGTGCTATATGATTAATTGAACAGCCGTTGGAGAAAAACAAATTTTAACCACTACTTTCCACCATAAACACACAGGAATTCCAAGTGATTTGGAGATACTAATGTGAAAAGTTAAAACAATAAAGCTCTGGAAAATAACATAAGGAAATATTTTTTGTGACCTTGCTGTAGGCAAATATTTCTTAAACAGGATATGAAAGGTGCCAACATCAAGGAAAAAAATTATAAATAGAACTAAATTAGAATTTAGAACTTCTATTTATCAAAATTAGAACACTCATACACTGCTTGTGGAAATTTAAATTGTTGCAATCACCGTTGAACAAAATTTGGCATTATCTACTAAAGATGAATATATGGCTGGGTGTGGTGGCTCACAGCTGTAATCCCACACTTTGGGAGGACAAGGCAGGTAAAGGAGGATCACTTGAGCCCAGGAGTTCAAGACCAGCCTGGGCAACAAAGAAAGGCCCTATCTCTACAAAACACTTTTTAAAAATTAGCCAGGTATGGTGGTGTATGCCTGTAGTCCCAGCTACTCAGGAGGCTGAGGCAGGAAGATCCCTTGAACCCAGGAGTTGGAGGTTACAGTGAGCTATAATCATGCCACTACACTTCAGCCTGGGTGACAAAATGAGAACTTGTCTCAAAAAAAAAAAAAAAAAAAAAAAGAGATGAATAGATGCATACTCTATGAAATAGCAATTCCACTTTTAAGTTTATTCCCAACATAAATATTTGCACATTTGTATCAAGAGTCATGTGCAAGAATGTTCATAAGAGCATTGTTCATAATAGCCTATAACATGAAAATCCTAAACTTTTATAAGATACATAAAATGTGTTATGTTTATCCAAAGATTATACAACAATGAAAATGAATAAGCTATCACCCCATGCAAGAACACATAGATGATTTTCAAAAACATAATACTGAGTAAAGAAGGCAGGCACAAAAGAATACATACATGATTTCCTTTATATTCAAAGTAATGGCAAAAACCGCAGTGACTTTTGCACCAATCTAAATATAATGCTAAAAAGTTGATAAAACTAATCTGTGATGCTAGAGGTGAGACTAATTGGGAAGGAAAGTTGGGGAGTCACTAGGAGAGGGCACACGGAACACTTCTGGGATGCTGGTAGTGGTGATGCTTCTTGACTTGAGTGGTAGTTTGTCATGGTGGGTTCACTTTGTGATAATTTATTGACCTGTACACCTAAGATTTGGACACAGTGTTGTAGTATGTTATATTTAAATCAAAACTTTTATTCAAGCAAAAAGTGGCCTTCCAGATGACCTCTGAAAGATACATTGATAACAGTAGTGTTCAAGAGTGATAAACTGTGATCATTCATGCTATTAAAATATTGTACCATGTGTATATATTAATTATGCAAATTAAATAAATAAGTAAAGTGTAAATTTCTAAGTGCTGCCTCTGTCTAGGAGGAGACTCTTGTTTGACCTTTCATAGAGGCTCTACCTTCTTAGCAAGGGCCCTCAGTAAGTTTGGAGTTAACCTTTACATTGAGGGGCTGGAGCTGACCAATGTGAATTTCTGCAGGTGACTTCAGCCTCTCCAATTAGAACATATCCATCATCACAGTGACAGTGCACCAGAGTAGTAGAGAATAAAAAATGATCTCACATCTTCATAGGACCCATGGCCAATGGGAGGAACCATTCTGCAAACTTGAATGGTGAGAGAGAAGGTAGAGGAGAATGAGCTAGAGTTTCATTTAATGAACAATTCAGTGAGCGACCCTTCTCGTTATGCAGAACTAGGTCATTAACTTATTGTACTGCTGATGTACATTTCGTCTCCTTGACAAAATCAGTAAACTTTTACACTGTTCATGAACTTCTGGGTACAAAAGCATTAATTTAGCCACAGGGAGTTACTCCAAAACAGAATCATATTCAGTAATCATGAGGTTAAATAAAAAGAAAGGCCACAAATTAATTTTCAAAAAGCAGACAGTGCAATTTAAAAACAGCTGAGAGACTTGAATAGATGTTCCTATAGAGGGGCTATACAGATTGTCAACAGACATATTAATAGGTGCTTAATCACATGGGTCATCAGGAAATACAAATAAAAGCCACAATGAGAAATCACTACACACTCACCAGAATGTCTACAATTGAAAACTATGATAATACCAAAGTTTTCATGAGTAGGACACAATGGAACTCCAATGAACTACCTAAGGAAATATAAATTGGTACAGCCACTTCCAAAAACAGTTTGTGGTTATGTCCTAGAACCTGGCAATTACAATCATGGATATTTTCTTGGCAGAAATACACAAACATGTGCACTAAAAGACAAGCTCAGAAATGTTTTCAGCAACATTATTTGTAATGTGACCAAACATGAAAGAGCCTAAAAATCCATCAACTCTAGAACAGATAAGTAAATTATGGTACATTCAACTGATGGAGTACTAGACAGCAATAAAAATGAATGAGATACTATTTACAAAAAAATGGGTGAATCTCACAAATACATTGAGCAAAAGCAGACAGACCATTAATGTATAATTCTATTCCATTATTAAAGCTTTTAAAAATGCAAAACTAAGCTACAGAACAAGTATAAATAAAATAAAGAAATGATTACTCTGCAAATCAGGATGATGGTTACATTTGAAGAAGGATGAAGTAGTAAATGGGAGGGCCCCCATGGGACTTCTGGGGGCTGGCAATGTCCTACATCTCTACCTGGGTGACATTTTCATTAAGTGTTTGATTTTTGATGAATCATGTTGCTGTACATTTTCACTTTGTATACTTTTCTATATGTGTATTATATTCTAATAAGCTTTTTAAAAAAGAGTTGATTATCTTTGAAAATGGTTAAAGAGTGAATGAATCCGGTTGAGTCCCCCCACCTCTTCCAACTACCACCCCCTCCACAAAGAGAATGTTTTATCATTTTGCAATTTTTGGAGAGAGGTTTGTTGAAACAATGCAAAACAATGGCATATTTGGAAGTAAGAAATATGCAAAGAGCACTTTGGGAAGTTGAGGTGGGCAGATCACTTGAGGTCAGGAGTTCCAGACCAGCATGACCAACATGGCAAAACCCCGTCTCTACTAAAAATACAAAAATTAGTGTGGTGGAGCATGCCCATAATCCTGCTACTCAAGAGACTGAGGCATGAGAATCGCTTGAACCTGGGAGGTGGAGGTTGTAGTGAGCCAAGATCATGCCACTGCACTCCAGCCTGGGCAACAGAGCAAGGCTCCACCTCAAAAAAAAAAAAGAAAGAAAGAGAGAGAGAGAGAGAGAGAAAGAAAGAAAGATGCAATGTTGAGTTGTTGAGTTAGCCTGTCAGTAAAGGAATGATCTATAGTGCCAAAAGTTTTGCAGACAAGATTTAGTGCAATTTAATAAATTTAGAGCTTTGAGTATGTTGATAAAGCACCACACTAAGGGAAGAGTTCCTGTAAGGACTGAATCTAAGTTAAAGCTGTTTCCAACTTATTTGCTAAAAAGCAAATTAAAACTGCTGGCTCCTTTCTCATGGACTCCATCCTCACCAAGAACTACTCCTTCATGTGTGCACTGTTCTCAGGCACTCTCACCGGTTCAGTGTTCTCCTATTAAGCCATGTGCATTCTCACTTCTGTGCCTTTTCTTCTGCCATTTGCCCTACTACAATGCTCTCTACCTTTCTCCACATGCAATCCTGGCACGCGGTGATCATTCCTGCCTGTGGTTGCCTATGGCTCTCAATAGGAATGATATTTTGAGTTCTTAGCCACTTGCATTTTATATATGTTTATCATATATTTATTCTACAGAAAAGGAAACACAACCTTAGAGAGGTCAGTTATTCTGCATAAGATCACAGTTACTAAGTGCCAGTGACATGAATGAAACTTAGGGATTAAACTCAGGCTTCTATCAGTTCAAAACCCACTGCTCCTTCTTAGAATACTACTATTTTCTGCTCTCTATAGAAAGCATTAGGTAAGTACTTTATGTGGCAGCTTCAGAGGTGTAAAAGGCTGTAAAATGGAAGTTTTGGCTGAAAAACAATATTCTTGTTATTTGCAAAGTCAAGTAACCCTCTCTCACTGATGAAGTAGGTGACTCATAACCGGTTAGAAAGCTCTTATCTCCCTCACCTGAATAAAAAACATTGAAATGACAGAAACGGAAGATATTTTAAGGATATTTGGGAAGGATTTTTTTTGTAGTGAAGCATTTGTTTTCCTGTGAGCCCCATTCCATCACTTGCATGAGGAAAATGTGTGGGTGCACTTTTCCTTCACATTGAGAGAGGGACTCTAAGGAGCCCACTGAAAAAGCCTAATATGGCTCCTCTCAGTTTGGACAGGGGGACACAGTGGATTAGTGTTGGACTCCTGCCAGGGAAATCTAAAATGCAAAAAATGGGCTGTCCAGTGGTTCTGATAGTGGGAACAAATGAAAGATCTCTGCTGCTTTGAGATTGTATAATAACCTATACTCCAGATGTTATTCAGAAAAATGGAGGGGTGAGTACTTCCAGGGGATTAGAAATCAGATGCATGAGAAAGTAATTCATGGTGGAGTTGTCTTCAGGTGTCTAAAAGAGCCACCAGGGTGGAAGAAAGACCTCAGTAAAAACAAAATAAAACAAAAACAAAACCTCTAGGAGTCACCAGATATCGAGGAGATAGGAAAAAGCAAGTGGTCAACCAGAATCGGAGATGGGTTTGACCACACCCAGGGAATTGTTAACAGATCCTCAGTGATGGTAGAGGACCCCATCCCCACCCCTCCACACACACAAAACACAAGAGAAAGAGCAAGTCGGAAGCACCCAGGAGGCCAAGGATTAGCTCAAGTCAAACATTGTTTCTCTCACTTCTTCTCCCAAAGTTTCAACTCAGGGGAGCTCAGAAAGCATAGCAACAGTCAGTCCAAAGGAAATGTTTGTTTTTGTAGCGAGGAATAGAAATTCACCTGTATATAAGTCCACAGCCTCCACACAGCCTTTCCTAACCCTCAGATTAAACACCTCTATAGAAATAGAAAACATAGCTTTTAATTTTTATAAATAAATAAATACATATGTAGAGCTCTTTGCTAGGCTTTTTGGGTAATATTAAGGGACATACTTGTGATGTATTTGAAAAGTTAAACTATAGCCATATAAATAGTCATACCATAGAACCAGTCACACAAGTGCCAGAAGATTAGGACAGAAAAGGAGTTCTATAGGAGAAGGTGGTGACAGAACAGAGGACTGGATTGTCAAGGGAAGGCTTCACAGAGTAAGGGGGAGGTACATCTTCAAGGGTGAGTAAAGTTGAGTCATTGAAAAAAATGGGAGAGGTAGAATATACTGAGGCAATAGGCAACTCTGGCATCAGATTGCTGTTGCAAGAGAAGTGGGAGGTAGGATCAGAAAGGGAGGCTAAGGTTGACAAGACATTAAACACCCTTTCAGGGGGTTGGGATCAGAAGTAATGTGAAGATTTGAGGGACCAGAAGATAAAAGAAAAAATAAGTAGGAACATGGAGAAATAATTCAAAGACTTGTTGACAGATTGGAGAAAGTCTTCCTCCATTTCCTCAGAATATAAGAAGGGAACTCAGAGGTGGAGTTGGCCTCTTTATCCGGTACTGACACTGTTACCTAAATTAACACCATCCCTCAATAGTTTTCATGCTTCTGATGTGAAGAGTTATCTTCCAAATACAGTTGCTTCCTTAATAAATCACGCTTTCTTCCTCAATGATCAAAAAAGCATGGCTTCAGCACTTTATGTCAATCTACTAGCTCTCAGAAGAGCACCCAGCTATTATTTTTGGGTCAAGATTTCCCCCCTAAGCCATCCAAATCCTCCATTTTTGATGCTACAATAGCTGTTTCAGGGAATATGTTTATAAATACTTTAACATGTTATAAAAATTAGTTCTCTCAAGAAACAATGTTGGCTAATGACAGAGAAAACTACAACTTTGCTAAAAGGACATTCCATTTAAATAACATAACAATCATTAATTTCCATAACAACAGCTCTTCAACCAGTTCTGGCAAGTTCTCTCAATCTCATACATTTCTCATTCATTCATAAAAACTTCCCTATATTTGAATAACAATGTGTTACTGTTGCAGTAAACTGAGGAACGGAGAAACTTTTAGATGCTGCTTGGCTTTGGAGACTTCCCTATTCCTGCTACAACTCTGAGCTGTAGCGCAGCTCCTATTAGCCCTATGCAGATAGACACTAGTCTTAGTCGGCCCCACACTTTCTTGGAGCACACAGTCCACACTAAGAGATCTGTGACTCCCCACTTCGCAGCTGTTGTGACTAACTAGGCCCCTCCATTTACACACTTTCACACACTTTTAGTTCCCATGTTTGTAACTGAGGTGGTGAGCCACTCTCGCCACCTCCAGATTCCTAGTTGGGGTGGTGAGCCACTCTCGCCACCTCCAGATTCCTAGTTGGGGTGGTGAGCTACTCTCGCCACCTCCAGATTCCTAGTTGGGGTGGTGAGCCACTCTCGCCACCTCCAGATTCCTAGTTGGGGTGGTGAGCCACTCTCGCCACCTCCAGATTCCTAGTTGGGGTGGTGAGCCACTCTCGCCACCTCCAGATTCCTAGTTGGGGTGGTGAGCCACTCTCGCCACCTCTAGATTCCTAGTTGGGGTGGTGAGCCACTCTCGCCACCTCCAGATTCCTAGCTGATTTAGCAAGCCACTCTCGTCCTGTCTTGGCGGGGTGTGAGTTTCATCTGGATTGACCAGCCACTCCCCTCGCCCCCAGCCCCTGTGGGTCGGACTATTCGGCACACCCCAGGAGGTGATCAGGCTCCCCTTCCATCCAAGGGACGGGTCCTGCCTTGGGCTCCCAAAACCTTACCACGTTTCCTGAAGCGTCCCGTTTCTGAAATCGTCCTGTAGCTCCTTTTAGGTTCTGTTGCACGGCTAGGTAGGGGGCGCCAGGTCACGGTAGAGCTGATCTCCCCTCTGGGCTGAAGTTCTCCTAGCAGCGCCTGGGGTCACAGGTTTCCCAAGGCCCAGGCTCCAACCCCCAGACCCAAAGGAGACAGTAAGCCTGCAGTCTTCAGTCCCTTCGTGATTGCCATAAACATTGTGGTAAACTGAGGAACGGAGAGACCAATAAGGAGTACAGGAGGATTTGTTTATTTTTAGGTATGCACCGGCTCAGAGGATTTATATCCAAAAAGCTGTGCATTGAATAAAAATAGAGCGGCATTTTTATAAGCGGCCTTACCAAAGCAAAACAAAAGCAGTTAATTATACAGTGACAGGTCACTTAATTTATAACATAACATAATTTGCGATCTTGCATAGCTGGTGACCTTGTAGCTGCATCGAAAGAAAAATAAAAACTGGCTAAATATAGACATTTGTGAAACATAATGCTCAAGAAGCCTGGGAAAAGAGTAACAGTAAAAGCATTTGTCTTTTTTTTTTTTTTCCTTTAACCTTGCTCTAAAATGGAGGGGTGTTTGGAACCCATTCCTTTGGCCTTGGCTATTCAGACAGGATTATCTTATAACTATCCTTAAAATAAGCTGCTAGACAAAGGAAAACTTTTTTTTAACCCTTGCCTTGCCACATTTTGGGCCTTAGCTTTTACTTTTTTTAAAGTAAATAAATGCAGTACTTATTATCATTATTATTATTTAAATTTCTGCCTTATTACATTTGTATAAGGCTTTATAGTTTACAAAGTGCTTAAATTTTACTTCAGCAAATTCACTCAGAATTTGTGATAGCAGGCAGTATATTGTGCTTTGAGGATGGAAATTTTTTCTGATCAATTAGTAACTGAGATTGTAGATGGTATAACTAACTTAATTGGAAAATAATTGTATCTTAAGCATTTAGGAATGTTTATTTAAATATAAGAAATTGATTTAAAAATTAAAGGTTATTCCTTTCTAAAGCAGCTCTGCAAAGATTTTTGCATATGATCACTTTGTTGTTTTAGACCTAATAACAGCTTCTATCTAAATTAGAACAATTTCCTTGACATTTTAAGATTCTTCATTTTTATTAATAACATAGTCACTTTATTCTCTCGAAAATCTTGTGAACTACCACCATTTGACTATATTTCCCAGCCTAGTGCTGGGAAAATGCTCTGCAACTTGAGGGACATGGCAGAGTCTCAGAGGGGACACAATGGGGCTCCGCCTTCTGCGATACCTTGAATCAAGAGGAAGAAAAGTTCTCTAAGTAACCATTGAAATATGCCTATGCCAAGGAGTTCAGCCTTGGCAAAGTCCCAACAATGGGTCACTGAAAGGGAGGGGCAAGGAGTGTGACTGGTAGACCAGATGCTGAGCACAGTTCTGACAGAGGGGAGCTGATATGGCCCTTTCTTGGGGAGAAGAGTCTGGGGCACCCTCTGAGATTCTGTATGTATCTCCCTGAGACTTTATCACTGTTCAGGCGGAGCCAGTGATGAGTCCCTTTGTGGGTATATGCATAATTCTTCTCTGAGGGAACAAGAGCAAAAGGCAAAAGGACTGCAGCTCCTGTCACACAGGGTAAGTGGTGGGTCTCCAGGAAGGAGAGGTCGCAGCATGAAAGACCAGGCTGAGAAGCAGTTCCTGTCCAGGAAGCAATATCCTCACCGAGGCAGATAAACTGCCCATAGAAGAATGAACATTTTTTTTTAAAGTTTGCAAAGTTAAACTTTTCTAAACAGTCCAGCCAGAATGAGTAAAACAAGTCTCTACTTTTAAAAATAAGAATCTAGTTCAAACAATAATTACTCTTACAAGAAATATATGTAAGTGGGAACTTCGTTTTCCTACTTCCTGGAATTTCTGATGTACCAAATGATTCACTCTGTGATACTATCTTACTCTGAAAACTATTCTAGTTTGTGCTTGCAGCACAGAAAAAGCTTGCCCTGAAATTTAAATGCTTGAGGATGATAAATTAGGAAGAAAGGAAGATTTATTGTGACTTACAGAATATCTCAATGGTGCTTGTTCAGAGTGAAACCCAGCATTTTGCCTGTAAGCAACAAAAGATATGTTTTTGAAAGGCACATTTGTTATTCTTCACGGGAAGATAACCACAGGACAAAATTTCTCTTAGCTATCTGCAACTACCTAGCTATTCACCCAGACCATTTCCTAAATTTAGTCTCTTAAAGTGAGACAGACAAAACCACCAATCTGAGTTGTATCTTTTGCCCACCAGCCGTGGGTTTCTGTTCCTGTAAGAGACAAAGATTGCTGTTCGAACAAGAGAGTAAATTCTGGAATTTGTCCCAAAGTGGTCTTCATTACCCAGTTAAGTTGGAATGACTACTACATACCAATAATAGCCAAAATGCTTATCTCTCAAAAATAAATAGAACTACCAAATATAACTGAGCAAACGTCTTTGGAATATTGATGAAAGCACAGTTAAATCTCAACTTTCTAGAGAGAAAAGAAAACAAATCCACTAAGTGGTTTCTTCCTTTAGAAAGAGGAACACAGTAAAGTAGTTTAGCGGGGTGCAATGGCTCATGCCTATAATCCCAACACTTTGGGAGACTGAGGCGGGTAGATCACTTGAGGCGAGGAGTTTGACACCAGCCTGGCCAACATGGAAAAACCCAGTCTATACTAAAAATACAAAAATTAGCTGGGCGTGGTGGTGAAAGTCTGTAATTCCTGCTACTTGGGAGGCTGAGACACAAGAATTGCTTGAACCTGGGAGGCAGAGTTTACAGTGAGGTGAGATCACACCACTGCACTCCAGCCTGGGCAACATAGCGAAACTCTGTCTCAAAAAATAAATAAATAAATAAGTCATTTAAATGATTAACCAGAAGGTTTGTTAACCTGGCTTTAATTTTTGAGCATGAGATGTACCAGAACTTTACATAAATTATCATAATTGATCTCAAACAACCCTGTGACATGGCTCTAATCTTCCTCATTGCATAGATGAGGAGACAGGTTCAGCTAGATTATGTAAGCTGCCCTAAATCTCTCAGATATTTTAGTGACTAAGCCAAATTCTGCCCAAGAATGATTCCAAAATCCAAGATTTTTCATTATACCAAAATAATTTTCACTCATTGGCCAAAATGACTACCTGTGAGTCTGCTGACTGGGCCACTTGGGAGTAAATGAACACAGTTGGGTTTTACCCAGTGATATGCTCACCCTCCAGTTGCTGCTGGTGCTGCAGTTAAGGGGTTATACCTGTGACATTCTGCAGAGAATGCCTTGTTATAATAGCAGCCATGTAATCCTGATGTACCAAGGAAGTTATGCCCCACCCCCCAAGAAGCAACCAATGTCGTACTGGTATTGGGGTACAAGAGCCCTAATCCCTTGACTCAAGTCTGTATGACCCTGTGATGCAATTTGTACTCAAGCCCCTGTTGATTTGGTGTAGGCTATGCATTTCCTGTGAACATGTTCTTGCTCAGTTCTTTCCCCTCCCTATTTGGCTGCTTCATTTCTTTAAATTTTATTTTTCTTCCTGAAGGGCACATTCTTAAAAATTCACATGCACCTGGAACTAGGAAGCAGACTCTAAGGATGGGATTCTTGAATTGTATCACCCACCAGCCAACTGGCAATCAAGACCCCATCACTTGTAAAAGGTGGGGTATCGATAGCCCCGTTTGCTGTAGCAGGGCAACTATTCACATTTTTACCCGGTGAGCTGTCATGGAACATAGATGGGGAAGATGCACTGGCTTGTGCCATGTCTCTGGCATTTGAGAGGTAGGATGGAAATGGCAATAATAGGGATTGTGAAATTGGGTGGCTGAGTAGCACCCCTTAACTGAAAATGAAGGCACAAAGCAATCAATCACAATGCAAATACAAGAGTGAAAGCCAGAAGGTCTCCTTGTTACTATCAAAAGAAACTCTTATCTCAGGTAGCTGAGGGTTAATTATGCTGAGGACCAGGCTCAGGACCTTACCTAAAAAGAACAGCAGGACCTCAACAAAGGATGAATTCTTAGCCTTTCCAAGTCTCCTACTGAAACTCAGGGCCCTTATATACACTACATTATTATTTACTATATTCACCACACTGTGCAGTATATTTCAAATAAAAACCTTATTCCTACTGTCTAATTGATGGATAATTGGCCCATTTTACCTTGTTATAATAGTGTCCTTTCCCCATGCTTATACACTATGCAGAGGATCAAATTAAGCAGGTGCTATATAAGGCCATAATTGCCCTCCTCAAGATCTGTCCCCACCTTATCACTAGTCACCAGGCCAATAGCTGGGGTCAAATCTCAGTGTGAACTGACTGAGAAAGTGCTGTCCCTGCTAAAAGAAGAGAGAAATTAAACCCAGGAGCCATGGGATCTAGCTAGCATGTGTTGCCAGGAACAGGGAGATTATTCCTGGGCATGGATCCTGAGGAACTGGGAGAGTATGCCTGGGAGTGGATCCTAAAGCTAGATAAGGTAGAGTTTATCAGCATAGGGGCAACCTCCCATATCACAGGATTTAACACCTTGGGAAGTGCCCTGGGAGTCAGTTCTAATATGATGCTTAAGAAAAATGATGGTCAATATTAAATGGGATAGAGATGCCAGAACTGCCATGGCAAACTAAGTCGGAAGAAATCACAGTGTCAGAGAATTAGATTTTGTTAGAACTATCTATTTTATAAGGCCATAGACCCACCAGCTATTTTCTTCATGAGAACCCTGAGGATGTACCATTTAACAAGCCAACAAGGAATGCACCCATGACAGGGACCAACATCACTGCAAAACTCAATAGTGGCTGGCCCTCTGTAGGCTGCGTCTTATGGTAGGATGGGCTATTACCAAATTTGCCTGCCCAATAGCAATGAGGATAACAGATTCCAGAGTAGCAGGGCTTATAGCAGTTACTTAATCTTCAGAAGCAAAAGGTGGGTGAAAAATCCTGTTTTGGACAGCATAGTCAGGACTGACATGATTCAAAAAATGTGCCTAGGATGCAAAACTTAAGGAGGCACTTGCTCTCAGGGTTGTGCAAGTACTGATTCTGCACTTGTATGACACTGTGAGTGAGTGCCTCCTTAAGAGTGAAGCATTTAGGGCAGCAAGGTGGGATTGCAGCCTGGGAGGGTGAGGATGTCCTGACCTGTAGGAGTCTTTGAAGAAGGCTACAGTATATGGTGTTCCTAAGGGCAAGGGCCCTCCAGTCTGGTGATTGCTTAATGTAAAAAGAGATCAAGAATGAACAATCCAAAGACTGAGGCTGGCCACTCCAGGCTCATGATCTCTTAGAAGAGAAGATTCTAAGATCTTTTAGAATAGAAAATCATGATCTCTTGCCTTTTATCTTGCTGATTGCCCTTTTTTTTTCTGACAATTTCCTCAGCAGTAAGTGAGAACAGGTCCATATGAGGAAGCACTGTGCAACCCCACAGTAGGTATACATAGTAGTGATTCTCTGGTCCTTCCGCAATGGAAACTTCAGTAATTGATTTAAGTAATTGGTCACTGTGCTTTTTAGAAACTTGTTGGATTTGAGCTACCTGTGGTACCTGGGAACAGAAAGTATGATAGTTCAAGTAGGAGCTACAGGGGCCAGGCAAAAAAGGATTCATAGTTCATGTCCATCTCCACTGTGTCTATGGCCCACCTGGTGGTCATTTCCATGGTTCCCAATGTAGAGTAGTTGGTGGGACACTCACATTAATTCCCTGACCTTTAGAAAAAGAACTATTGAGGTAAGAAACCCCATGCAGAAAATCTACAAATAATATCACTTTATGCTGAAACACAGATGTTTAAGATTAGGAACAAGGCAAGGATCTCTACTCTCACCAATACATTTATTGGAATATATAGCCCATGCAATAAAGCAGGAAAATAAATAAAAGGCATGCAGTTTGGGAAAGTAGAAATAAAACCTTTTATTTGCAAACAACATGATCATTTATGTAGTAAATCCCAGAGAATTTATAGAAAACCTAATAGTACTTATGAGAAAATTTAATAAGGCCACAGATACATGATCAATATACAAAAATCAGTTATATTCCTATACACTTGCAACGAACAATTGGAACTTGAAATTTAAAAAGCACTACCATCATAAGGGCAATATGCTGGGTGAAAATAAAATTTCAAAAGGTCACATGCTGTGTGATTTCATTTGTAAAACATTGTCAAAAGGACAAAATGATAGAGAGGGAGAAGAGATTACTAATTGCCAGAGTTAGGAATGGTGGGCCAGGGGAGAGGGCCAGGTGTGATTTTAAAGTAGTAGCTCAAGGGGGAATCTCTGTGGTGATGGAATAATTCTGTATTTTGATTGCTGTGGTGGTTACATGAGTCTATGCATGTGATAAAATAGCATAGAACCATAAGCACATATTAAACCAATGTCAATTTTCTAGTTTTGGTATCATATTATAGTTTCATAAGATATAACCAAAGAGAGGAAACTGGGTGAAGGGTACATGGGATTTCTCTGTATATATATATATATATATATATATATATATATATATATATATATGTGTGTGTGTGTGTGTATGTGTGTGTGTATGTATGTATTATATATGTGTATATATTATATATACACATATATATGTGTATATATTATATATACACATATATATGTGTATATATTATATATACACATATATATGTGTATATATTGTATATACACATATATTATATATGTATATATTATATATTATATATGTATGTATTATATATATTATATGTATATATATTATATAGACACATATATATGATTTCTCTATATTATTTTTATAACTTTCTATGAATCTATAATTATTTCAAAATAAAAAGTTTTTAAATGGACATACATTAAAGCTTTTTATGGTGCATGGCAGATGAAAACTCCAAAACATTCATGAAAAAAATCAAAGAAAATAAATAGAGTAATATGCCGTGTTCATGGATTTATATACAATATTATTAAGTCACTTCTCCCCAAATTGATCTACAGAGTCAAAGCATTCTAATCCAAATCCCAGTAGATATTTATATAGAAATTGACAAGCTATTTCTAAAATGTACATGGATATGCCGAAGACCTAGAAAACCAAAACATTTTGCAAAAAAAAAAAAAAAAAAGCTGAAGAACTCACACTTCTGATTTGAAGGCTTATTATAAAGCCACAATAGTCAAGACATTTTGAAACTGGCATAGGAATGGACATATAGGTCAATGGAAAAAATAGACTAGAGAAATACACCAATACGTAAATGGTTACTTGGTTATAGATGAATTGCAATGGTAATTCCATAAAAAAGGGTAGTCTTTTCCACAAATGATGCCAGAACACTTGGATGTCCATATAAGAGGGAAAAAAGATTCTTGACTCTTACTTTTCACCACATACAAAAATTAATTCAAATGGCTCATGGACATAAATGTAAAACTAGACAATTTTGGGACCTCTAGTTTAAGTGAGATACTATTCATTCATTGCTCTCTGTATTCCAGGGTCTATCTTTGTTATAAAATTAGATATCCAGTATACACCTGCCTGGATCTCAATAGCTGAATGTTTTACAAAAATATAAATGCTGACTGATGCTTTACTATATCAGTTTTACTTTTTTTTCTGTTCTTTTTTTTATTATTATACTTTAAGTTTTAGGGTACATGTGCACAACATGCAGGTTAGTTACATATGTATACATGTGCCATGTTGGTGTGCTGCACCCAGTAACTCGTCATTTAACATTAGGTATATCTCCAGATGCTATCCCTCCCCCCTCCCCCCACCCCACAACAGGCGCCGGTGTGTGATGTTCCCCTTCCTGTGTCCATGTGTTCTCATTGTTCAATTCTCACCTATGAGTGAGAACATGCAGTGTTTGGTTTTTTGTCCTTGTGATAGTTTGCTGAGAATGATGGTTTCCAGCTTCATCCATGTCCCTACAAAGGACATGAACTCATTCTTTTTTGTGGCTGCATAGTATACCATGGTGTATATGTGCCACATTTGCTTAATCCAGTCTATCATTGTTGGACATTTGAGTTGTTTCCAAGTCTTTGCTATTGTGAATAGTGCCGCAATAAACATACGTGTGCATGTGTCTTTATAGCAGCATGATTTATAATCCTTTGGGTATATACCCAGTAATGGGATTGCTGGGTCAAATGGTATTTCTACTTGTAGATCCCTGAGGAATCGCCACACTGACTTCCACAATGGTTGAACTAGTTTACAGTTCCACCAACAGTGTAAAAGTGTTCCTATTTCTCCACATCCTCTCCAGCACCTGTTGTTTCCTGATTTTTTAATGATCGCCATTCTAACTGGTGTGAGATGGTATCTCATTGTGGTTTTGATTTGCATTTCTCTGATGGCCAATGATGGTGAGCATTTTTTCATGTGTCTTTTGGCTGCATAAATATCTTCTTTTGAGAAGTGTCTGTTGATATCCTTCGCCCACTTTTTGATGGGGTTGTTTGTTTTTTTCTTGCAAATTTGTTTGAGTTCATTGTAGATTCTGGATATTAGCCCTTTGTCAGATGAGTAGATTGCAAAAATTTTCTCCCATTCTGTAGGTTGCCTGTTCACTCTGATGGTAGTTTCTTTTGCTGTGCAGATGCTCTTTAGTTTAATTAGATCCCATTTGTCAATTTTGGCTTTTGTTGCCATTGCTTTTGGTGTTTTCAACATGAAGTCCTTGCCCATGCCTATGTCCTGAATGGTATTGCCTAGGTTTTCTTCTAGGGTTTTTATTGTTTTCATCTTTAACATTTAAGTCTTTAATACATCTTGAATTAATTTTTGTATAAGGTGTGAGGAAGGGATCCAGTTTCAGCTTTCTACATATGGCTAGCCAGTTTAGTTTTCCCAGCACCATTTATTAAATAGGGAATCGTTTCCCCATTGCTTGTTTTTGTCAGGTTTGTCAAAGATCAGATGGTTGTAGATATGCGGCATTATTTCTGAGGGCTCTGTTCTGTTCCATTGGTCTGTATCTCTGTTTTGGTACCAGTACCATGCTGTTTTGGTTACTGTAGCCTTGTAGTATAGTTTGAAGTCAGGTAGCATGATGCCTCCAGCTTTGTTCTTTTGGCTTAGGATTGACTTGTCAATGCAGGCTCTTTTTTGGTTCCATATGAACTTTAAAGTAGTTTTTTCCAATTCTGTAAAGAAAGTCATTGGTAGCTTGATGGGGATGGCATTGAATCTATAAATTACCTTGGGCAATATGGCCGTTTTCATGATATTGATTCTTCCTACCCATGAGCATGGAATGTTCTTCCATTTGTTTGTATCCTCTTTTATTTCATTGAGCAGTGGTTTGTAGTTCTCCTTGAAGAGGTCCTTCACTTCCCTTGTAAGTTGGATTCCTAGGTATTTTATTCTCTTTGAAGCAATTGTGAATGGGAGTTCACTCATGATTTGGCTCTCTGTTTGTCTATTATTGGTGTATAAGAATGCTTGTGATTTTTGTACATTGATTTTGTATCCTGAGATTTTGCTGAAGTTGCCTGTCAGCTTAAGGAGATTTGGGGCTGAAACGATGGGGTTTTCTAGATATACAATCATGTCATCTGCAAACAGGGACAATTTGACTTCCTCTTTTCTTAATTGAATACCTTTTATTTCCTTCTCCTGCCTGATTGCCCTGGCCAGAACTTCCAACACTATGGTGAATAGGAGTGGTGAGAGAGGACATCCCTGTCTTGTGCCAATTTTCAAAGGGAATGCTTCCAGTTTTTGCCCATTTAGTATGATATTGGCTGTGCGTTTGTCATAGATAGCTCTTATTATTTTGAGATACGTCCCATCAATACCTAATTTATTGAGAGTTTTTAGCATGAAGGGCTGCTGAATTTTGTCAAAGGCCTTTTCTGCATCTATTGAGATAGTCATATGGTTTTTGTCATTGGTTCTGTTTATATGCTGGATTACATTTATTGATTTGCATATACTGAATCAGCCTTGCATCCCAGGGATGAAGCCCACTTGATCATGTTGGATAAGCTTTTTGATGTGCTGCTGGATTCGGTTTGCCAGTATTTTATTGAGGATTTTTGCATCCATGTTCATCAGGGATATTGGTCTAAAATTCTCTTTTTTTGTTGTGTCTGCCAGGCTTTGGTATCAGGATAATGCTGGCCTCATAAAATGAGTGAGGGAGGATTCCCTCTTTTTCTATTGATTGGAATAGTTTCAGAAGGAATGGTACCAGTTCCTCCTTGTACATCTGGTAGAATTCGGCTGTGAATCCGTCTGGTCCTGGACTTTTTTTGGTTGGTAAGCTATTAATTATTGCCTCAATTTCAGAGCCTGTTATTGGTCTATTCAGAGATTCAACTTCTTCCTGGTTTAGTCTTGGGAGGGTGCATGTGTCAAGGAATTTATCCATTTCTTCTAGATTTTCTAGTTTATTTGCGTAGAGGTGGTTATAGTATTCTCTGATGGTAGTTTGTATTTCTGTGGGATTGGTGGTGATATCCCCTTTATCATTTCTTATTGTGTCTATTTGATTCTTCTCTCTTTTCCTCTTTATTAGTCTTGCTAGTGGTCTATCAATTTTGTTGATCTTTTCAAAAAACCAGCTCCTGGATTCATTGATTTTTTGAAGGGTTTTTTGTGTCTCTATTTCCTTCAGTTCTGCTCTGATCTTAGTTATTTCTTGCCTTCTGCTAGCTTTTGAATGTGTTTGCTCTTGTTTCTCTAGTTCTTTTAATTGTGATGTTAGGGTGTCAATTTTAGATCTTTCCTGCTTTCTCTTGTGGGCATTTAGTGCTATAAATTTCCCTCTACACACTGCTTTGAATGTGTCCCAGAGATTCTGGTATGTTGTGTCTTTGTTCTCGTCGGTTTCAAAGAACATCTTTATTTCTGCCTTCATTTCTTTATGTACCCAGTAGTCCTTCAGGAGCAGGTTGTTCAGTTTCCATGTAGTTGAGCGGTTTTGAGTGAGTTTCTTAATCCTGAGTTCTAGTCTGATTGCACTGTGGTCTGAGAGACAGTTTGTTATAATTTCTGTTCTTTTACATTTGCTGAGGAGAGCTTTACTTCCAACTATGTGGTCAATTTTGGAATAAGTGCGGTGTGGTGCTGAGAAGAATGTATATTCTGTTGATTTGGGGTGGAGAGTTCTGTAGATGTCTATTAGGTCCTCTTGGTGCAGAGCTGAGTTCAATTCCTGGATATCCTTGTTAACTTTCTGTCTCGTTGATCTGTCTAATGTTGACAGTGGGGTGTTAAAGTCTCCCGTTATTATGGTGTGGGAGTCTAAGTCTCTTTCTAGGTCTCTAAGGACTTGCTTTATGAATCTGGGTGCTCCTGTATTGGGTGCATGTATATTTAGGATAGTTAGCTCTTCTCGTTGAATTGATCCCTTTACCATTATGTAATGGCCTTCTTTGTCTCTTTTGATCTTTGCTGGTTTAAAGTCTGTTTTATCAGAGACTGGGATTGCAACACCTGCCTTTTTTTGTTTTCCATTTGCTTGGTAGATCTTCCTCCATCCCTTTATTTTGAGCCTATGTGTCTCTGCATGTGAGATGGGTTTCCTGAATACAGCACACTGATGGGTCTTGACTGTTTGTCCAATTTGCCAGTCTGTGTCTTTTAATTGGAGCATTTAGCCCATTTACATTTAAGGTTAATATTGTTATGTGTGGATTTGATCCTGTCATTATGATGTTAGCTGGTTATTTTGCTCATTAGTTGATGCAGTTTCTTCCTAGCCTCGATGGTCTCTACCATTTGGCATGTTTTTGCAGTGGCTGGTACCGGTTGTTCCTTTCCATGTTTAGTGCTTCCTTCAGCAGCTCTTTTAGGGCAGGCCTGGTGCTCTTTTAGGGCAGGCCTGAGAGACAAAATCTCTCAGCATTTGCTTGTCAGTAAAGTATTTTGTTTCTCCTTCACTTATGAAGCTTAGTTTGGCTGGATATGAAATTCTGGGTTGAAAATTCTTTTCTTTAAGAATGTTGAATATTGGCCCCCACTCTCTTCTGGCTTGTAGAGTTTCTGCCAAGAGATCAGCTGTTAGTCTGATGGGCTTCCCTTTGAGGGTAACCCAACCTTTCTCTCTGGCTGCCCTTAACATTTTTTCCTTCATTTCAACTTTGGTGAATCTGACAATTATGTGTCTTGGAGTTGCTCTTCTCGAGGAGTATCTTTGTGGCGTTCTCTGTATTTCCTGAATTTGAATGTTGGCCTGCCTTGCTAGATTGGGGAAGTTCTCCTGGATAATATCCTGCAGAGTGTTTTCCAACTTGGTTCCATTCTCCCTGTCACTTTCAGGTACACCAGTCAGACATAGATTTGGTCTTTTCACATAGTCCCATATTTCTTGGAGGCTTTGTTCATTTCTTTTTATTCTTTTTTCTCTAAACTTCTCTTCTCACTTCATTTCATTCATTTGATCTTCCATCACTGATACCCTTTCTTCCAGTTGATTGAATCAGCTACTGAGGCTTCTGCATTCATCACGTAGTTCTTGTGCCTTGGTTTTCAGCTCCATCAGGTCCTTTAAGGATTTCTCTGCATTGATTATTCTAGTCAGCCATTCGTCTAATTTTTTTTCAAGGTTTTTAACTTCTTTGTCATGGGTTCGATCTTCCTCCTTTAGTTCAGAGTAGTTTGATCATCTGAAGCCTTCTTCTCTCAACTCGTCAAAGTCATTCTCTGTCCAGCTTTGTTCCATTGCTGGTGAGGAGCTGCGTTCCTTTGGAGGAGGAGAGGCACTCTGATTTTTAGAGTTTCCAGTTTTTCTGCTCTGTTTTTTCCCCATCTTTGTGGTTTTATCTACCTTTGGTCTTTGATGATGGTGACAAACAGATGGGGTTTTGGTGTGGATGTCCTTTCTGTTTGTTAGTTTTCCTTCTAACAGTCAGGACCCTCAGCTGCAGGTCTGTTGGAGTTTGCTGGAGGTCCACTCCAGACCCTGTTTACCTGGGTATCAGCAGCAGAGGCTGCAGAACAGCAGATATTGGTGAACAGCAAATGTTGCTGCCTGATGATTCCTCTGGAAGTTTTGTCTCAGAGGAGTACCCAGCCATGTGAGGTGTCAGTCTGCCCCTTCTCGGGGGTGCCTCCCACTTAGGCTACTCAGGGGTCAGGGACCTACTTGAGGAGGCAGTCTGTCCGTTCTCAAATCTCCAGTGTGTGCTGGGAGAACCACTGCTCTCTTCAAAGCTGTCAGACAGGGACATTTAAGTCTGCAGAGGATTCTGCTGCCTTTTGTTTGGCAATACCCTGCCCCCAGAGGTGAAGTCTACAGAGGCAGGCAGGCCTCCTTGAGCTGTGGTGGGCTCCACCCAGTTCAAGCTTCCTGGCTGCTTTGTTTACCTACTCAAGCCTCGGCAATGGTGGGTGCCCCTCCCCCAGCCTCGCTGCCACCTTGCAGTTTGATCTCAGACTGCTGTGCTAGCTATGAGCGAGGCTCCGTGGGCATAGGACCCTCTGAGCCAGGCACAGGATATAATCTCCTGGTGTGCCATTTGCTAAGACCATTGGAAAAGCTCAGTATTAGGGTGGGAGTGACCTGATTTTCCAGGTGCCGTCTGTCACTCCTTTCTTTGACTAGGAAAGGGAATTCCCTGACCCCTTGCGCTTCCCGGGTGAGGCAATGCCTCGCCCTGCTTCGGCTCATGCTCGGTGCGCTGTACCCACTGTCCTGCACCCACTTTCCGACACTCCCCAGTGAGATGAACCCGGTACCTCTGTTGGAAATGCAGAAATCATCCATCTTCTGCGTCACTCACGCTGGGAGCTGTAGACTGGAGCTGTTCCTATTCGGCCATCTTGGCTCCACCCCCCAACATGTCTCATCATCTCAGTTTTATAGGGGATTGATATATTTAGCTTTTTGAAGAACTTATCAACTGAAGTTAAAGGCATTATATATTATGTTATTCACTGTCCCTTGTAAAATAACTCATGCAAGAAAATTGCTTTCTATTTTCAAAACAAGAAAAAATGTTTCTCCTGTAAGCAGAACTGATATGTTTATTTTTGTCAAACAATGTAAATATGTGATACATTATAGTTCCCATTTTAATTTGACTCAAAATAAACTCAATTACAATTACTGTATAAATTTAAATTTAGGGAAATTTATCTCTCTTACATGACTTTGATTTTCCATTTTTATTTTAGCACATTTAAGTTATAAATATTGTTACAAACTAATATATTTAAACTTTTTGAAATTATTAAGCTTCTACTGGGTACTGAGGTAGACATAAAAAATGGAAAAATAAAATTTGGAAAAATTTTTTTCAGTATAAATATCCATTATTGGTTATATATTAATATTTACAATGAGGAAGAATTTATCATATCTTTAAACTTAAAATTATCAGTGTCTAGAAAATTGATAATTTGGTAAAAGTCTTGTGAACACAGGACTGATAGCTATTCACAGGGCTATTTCTGGATTGGAAACCTTTATTCTTTTTCTGAACCTTAATTTCCCACATTACAAAATGGCAGCTCAACCCATAGTCACCATTCACATATAATTTTTCATCTGAAAGTTTCTAGTTAAGCAGCTTCCTTTTTCCTAGGCTCTTTTTTTAAGCCTGGAGAGAGATTGAATCACATACTTACAGTTTGTTTCCCTATAGTCAGAGAAGAATATTTGGCAGCAGAAATTTTGTAATTGACCTTCTGCTGGACTGTATTAGTACCAAGTTAGTATTTCACATAATTTCATGTACTGTTTGCCCATGATATAATTATTAAGCACATCCTGTATACACACCTCTGAGGCAAATACAAAGATAAACTAGTCATAATAGAAGGAAAAACAAGTCACCTAAAAGCAGTTGATGAATGCGATGACTCTGCCTTCTAGAAATAGGAACAATTGTTTCAAGAAAGAATGTAAATGCTTTAAAGTTGACAATACAAAAGTAACGTTGTAGCAGAAACAGGGTGCTAGGTGGAGGGAGAAGTGGAGTTCCACAGGAAAATAGAAGCAGTAATCTTCTTTGTTGCACGATAGAAATTCAAGTTAATAAATAAGCAGGCAGGAGACTGGAGAATCATTCTCCAGAGAAACTGGGCAGAACAGAAGAGATACCAGTAAAAACTGATATTTGGGTATCCCTCTGAATTTGTTAGGGCATAGGCTAAGCTGCTATAACAAACACACTTCAAACACAACGGCTAACAAGGCAGAAGTTTATCTCTTTTTCATATGACAGTCCAGAGATGGAAGTGCATTCAGAACAGTCACGAGCTCTGACCCAAGTTGACAAGGTCATCCAAGGGCCAAATGCTTTCCCTTTCATTACTCTAGCATCCGCAGGAACTGTCCTCAGAATGGCAGAGGCTGACTCACCATCACTCTTGCCAGCACTTCAGCTCACCGCGGGGGGAAAGAGGAAGCGGAAAGCAAGTGGGGCCGGGCGCAGTGGCTCACGCCTGTAATCCCAGCACTTTGGGAGGCCGAGGCGGGTGGATCACAAGGTCAGGAGTTCAAGACCAGCCTGGCCAAGATGGTGAAACCCCATCTCTACTAAAAATACAAAAAAATTAGCCGGGCGTGGTGGTGGGCGCCTGTAATCCCAGCCACTCGGGAGGCTGAGGCAGAGAACTGCTTGAATCCGGGAGGCAGAGGTTTCAGTGAGTCAAGATCGCGCCACTGCACTCCAGCCTGGGCGACACAGCGAGACTCGTCTCAAAAAAAAAAAAGAAAAAAGAAAAGAAAAGAAAGCAAGTGACTTCTTTCCTAAGAAAGTAACTAGGAAGTTGTGCACATTGGGAGGTTACTCCGAGGGAGCATCTAACAGAGCAGCGGATACCCTGCTGATATTCAAAGGGGTGAGGGTAGTTGTATTACCTAAACAAGTAGGGGAAATGGATACTGGGAAGCAATCAGCAGTTTCTGCTACAACTGCCAATAAGAAAAAAGTAGTTCACTGCCCAATCTCACCATGTACATAGAACTTAAATAATCAGTGATATGGGTCTCACTCTTTAAAATGAATATATAACCTAGAACCATCATCAACAGAAGTTTGCAGAGAGCAGAATAGAACTTCCATAGAAACTATTATTAATATCCTCTGAGAAATATAGGTAGGCACTGTATCCATAAAAAACAGAATACTTTTTTAAATGAAGGGAATATTTTTGAAAATGGTTAAAATACAAAATCAAGAAATGATCCCCAAAGAATGTGGGGAAGGGATGAGACAGAGATGATGTATGGGAAAAAGAGAGAAAATTTAAGAAAATTACTAGATTGACAAAAAGGATCAATATCTGACCAGTAAGATTTCTCTAAAAATAAGAGAAAAATATAAAGAAGACAAAAAAAACTATACCAACAACATTTCTCAGAATAAAATATGAGTTTCCCTACAGAAAAACAAGGATAAAAACATCCTATATGATCAAGAATTAAAATGGTTCTGGCTTTTCTACTATAATATTGGAAACTGTAATACAAAAAAAGATACTGTTTAAAAGTTCTAAAAGAAAATTTTTTTAACCCAATTTTCTACACTCAGCCAAATTATCAACCAAGTGTGAGAATAAAGACAGTTTCAAATATGTTGGAGCTCAAAATTTTACTTCCTGTGCATCATTTCTTAGGTGGCTCCTGGAGGGTGTGTTCCAGTACAATGAATGAATAAGTCAAGAAAGAGGAGAACTTGAGTCCAAGAAGCAAAGACAGGGCAAGGAGGTGAGCCTACAGACTTGGGGGCATCCATTGTATATTATAGTGTGTAGCAGACCCTGTCAATGTCCTGTTAATATCATTAGGGCCCTGCCACTTCAGCACACTCTGGACAACTTCCAACTTCCCCAAATCTGCTTCATTTAGACCAGGCTCTTACCAGAACCATTGACAGCTACTCTGCCTTCTTACAGAGAAGGCCAGAAATGCTAAGATATTAATACCTCCCAGAAGCAGACCTCAAATCGTGAAAGCTATTATATCAATTTAATTTTACAATTGTATTAGAGGCAATGAAAAACACAATGTTTCAGGGATCTGGCAAAGGGAAGTGAGAGATATGAGTAGGGAGAGAGTGGAAGACTAGAACAACTTGTCAACAGATAGGACCACACAGAAAAGGCAACTGTAGAAGAGACCATCTTTTCCCTACCTTTGTGCCCTTGGCCTACTCTGGAGGTTGCTATAGACAGCCCATTAGGAGCCACTGGCTACCCATGTCTGTCTGCCTAACCATGATCCCCATCCTCTGAGCCTGCTCAACGAACCAATAGTGTGGATCCCTCATGTCTGGGAGCCATTGCTGCTAGAGCAAGACTTCACCAGTGAGGGAAGAGAATAGGTAGATATATACCCAGGTCTTCATCCTGAGGAGAACAACTCAGAGTTGAGTGTGCCACCAGCTCTCAGCGGGTTCTCAGCATGCTTGAGCCCCTCTTAGCAGTACGAGAACCTCCTCAACAATGTTTCCTCTTTTGCTTTCCTTCCTTTCCCATCTTACTGCCCATCAGTACTTTCTGAGACCCCCTTCCAAGGAAACCAGTTGCTCACAAATCCTTGTCTCAGGGGAACCCGAAATAAATATCAACAACAAAAAAAATTCCTAGCAGATGGAGCAGGCAATGGCTTTCAAGACCATAAACAGACAGCTTCAATGTTAAGTGGGCTTCTCTAACAGTTCAAGCCCCTCTGTTATAGCTGAGGTTCAATGATAGCCTGTCATACACCATTGCCTCCATGGAGTGTGTTTGCAGAAATCAAGTCAAAGAGGCTGGTATTCCCCCATGGAGTTCTATGTACAGAGAGAGAAGAGACAGCCAGAGAAGCTGAGATAAGAATGAGAAAGAGACTTCACAGGAAGCAACAGTCAGAAAAAGTGATGACTCGAAGGAATAGACGCCAGAGTACTGAGAGACATAAGGATTGATACAGGGTTTCTCCTCACGTGTATGACAGTTGCTCAAGCCATTTTAATATTAAGGAACAGTGACTAAATCAGATGGAAGCCTTGGGAATATGCTTAGGACTGACATGTGGGCTTCATCTTTGTGGAGTCCTGAGAAGATAGGTTAGCAACAATGAGGAGGGGGCCCTGGGGTGGGGAAGAGCAATTCTTCTGAGAAATTCTAGCCACAAACCACTATCTGGCACAACATCCTATTCCCAAATACCTCATTCCACACATAGCCCCTCCAGCATGACCCTGTAGAACTTCTCTCCAGCCCCTGCCTCTTGGCAGACAGCCTTCTCTCAGCTGCACTGCCCATTGCTCTTTTTTTTTTTTCATATATACATTATTTATATCCAGTGGTGTGCTACAGTCAGCATATACCAGCTCACAGAAAGCCAATTTTCAAATGTTTAGGAATCCTGCAAACTCATTGGCATCACATACATTAAAATCAGCCATTCTCTAGTATGGATACAAAACAATTTGCTTATCCATTCACCTGTCGTTGCATATTTAGTTTTTTTGTTTTTATTATTATTATTATTATTATTATTATTATTATTATTATACTATAAGTTCTAGGGTACATGTGCACAATGTGCAGGTTTGATACATAGGTATACATGTACCATGTTGGTTCACTGCACCCATCAACTTATCGATTACATTAGCTATTTCTCCTAATGCTATCCCTCCCCCAGGCCCCCACCCCCCAACAGGCCCCAGTGTGTGATGTTCCCCACCCTGTATCCAAGTGATCTCATTGTTCAATTCCCACCTATGAGTGAGAACATGCAGTGTTTGGTTTTCTGTCCTTGTGATAGTTTGCTCAAAACGATGCTTTCCAGCTTCATCCATGTCCCTGCAAAGGACATGAACTCATCCTTTTTTACGGCTGCATAGTATTCCATGGTGTATGTATGCCACAGTTTCTTAATCCAGTCTATCACTGATGGACATTTGGATTGGTTCCAAGTCTTTGCTATTGTGAATAGTGCCGCAATAAACATACATGTGCATGTGTCTTTATAGTAGCATGATTTATAATCCTCTGGGTATATACCCAGTAATGGGATTACTGAGTCAAATGGTAATTCTAGTTCTAGATCCTTGAGGAATTGCCACACTGTCTTCCACAATGGTTGAACTAATTCACACTCCCACCAACAGTGTAAAAACATTCCTAGTTCTCCACATTCTCTCCAGCATCTGTTGTTTCCTGACTTTTTAATGATTGCCTTTCTAGCTGGCGTGAGATGGTATCTCATTGTGGTTTTGATTTGCATTTCTCTGATGACCAGTGATGATGAGCATTTTTTCATCTGTCTGTTGGCTGCATAGATGTCTTCTTTTGAGAAGTATCTGTTCATATCCTTTGCCCACTTTTTGATGGGGTTGTTTGCTTTTTTCTTGTAAATTTGTTTTAGTTCTTTGTAGATTTTGGATATTAGCCCTTTGTCAGAAGCGTAGATTGCAAAAATTTTCTTCCATTCTGTAGGTTGTCTGTTCACTCTGATGGTAGTTTCTTTTGCTGTGCAGAAGCTCTTTAGTTTAATTAGATCCCTTTTGTCTATTTTGGCTTTTGTTGCCATTGCTTTTGGTGTTTTAGTCGTGAAGTCCTTGTCTATGCCTATGTCCTGAATGGTATTGCCTTGGTTTTCTTCTAGGGTTTTTATGGTTTTAGCTCTACCATTTAAGTCTTTAATCCATCTTGAATTAATTTTTGTATCAGGTGTAAGGAAGGGATCCAGTTTCAGCTTTCTACATATGGCTAGCCAGTTTAGTTTTCCCAGAACCATTTATTAAATAGGGAATCCTTTCCCCATTTCTTGTTTTTGTCAGGTTTGTCAAAGGTCATATGGTTGTAGATGTGTGGTGTTATTTCTGAGGGCTCTGTTCTGTTCCATTGGTCTATATATCTCTTTTGATACCAGTACCATGCTGTTTTGGTTACTGTAGCCTTGTAGTATAGTTTGAAGTCAGGTAGCGTGATGCCTCCAGCTTTGTTCTTTTGGCTTAGGATTGTCTGGGCAATGCGGGCTCTTTTTTGGTTCTATATGAAATTTAAAGTAGTTTTTTTTTTTCCAATTCTGTGAAGAAAATCATTGGTAGCTTGATGGGGATGGCATTGAATCTATAAATTACTTTGGGCAGTATGGTCATTTTCACAATATTGATTCTTCCTATCCATGAGCATGGAATATTCTTCCATTTGTTTGTGTCCTCTTTTATTTAGTTGAGCAGTGGTTTGTAGTTCTCCTTGAAGAGGTCCTTTACATCCCTTGTAAGTTGGATTCCTAGGTATTTTATTCTCTTTGTAGCAATTGTGAATGGGAGTTCACTCATGATTTGGCTCTCTGTCTGTTAATGGTGTATAGAAATGCTTGTGATTTTTACACATTGATTTTGTATCCTGAGACATTGCTGAATTTGCTTATCAGCTTAAGGAGATTTGGGGCTGAGACAATGGGGTTTTCTAAATATACAATTGTGTCATCTGCAAACAGGGACAATTTGACTTCCTCATTTCCTAATTGAATACCCTTTATTTCTTTCTCTTGCCTGATTGCCCTGGCCAGAACTTCCAACACTATGTTGAATAGGAGTGGTGAGAGAGGGCATCCTTTTCTTGTGCCGGTTTTCAAAGGGAATGCTTCCAGTTTTTGCCCATTCAGTATGATATTGGCTGTGGGTTTGTCATAGAGAGCTTTTATTATTTTGAGATACCTTCCATCAATACCTAGTTTATTGAGAGTTTTTAGCATGAAAGCCTGTTGAATTTTGTTGAAGGTCTTTTCTGCATCTATTGAGATAATCATGTGGTTTTTGTCATTAGTTCTATTTATGTGATGGATTATGTTTATTGATTTGAATGTGTTGAACCAGCCTTGCATCCCAGGGATGAAGCCAACTTGATTGTGGTGGATAAGCTTTTTGATGTGCTGCTGGATTTGGTTTGCCAGTATTTTATTGAGGATTTTTGCATCCATGTTCATCAGGGATATTGGTCTAAAATTCTCTTTTTTTGTTGTGTCTCTGCCAGGCTTTGGTATCAGGATGATGCTGGTCTTATAAAATGAGTTAGGGAGGATTCCCTCTTTTTCTATTGATTGGAATAGTTTCTGAAGGAATGGTACCAACTTCTCTTTGTACCTCTGGTAGAATTCAGCTGTGAATCCATCTGGTCCTGGTCCAGGCTCAATTTCAGAGCCTGTTATTTGTCTATTCAGATATTCAGCTTCTTCCTGGTTTAGTCTTGGGAGAGTGTATGTGTCCAGAAATTTATCCATTTCTTCTAGATTTTGTAGTTTATTTGCATAGAGATGTTTATAGTATTCTCTGATGGTAATTTGTATTTCTGTGGGATCGGTGGTGATATCCCCTTTATCATTTTTTATTGCGTCTATTTGATTCTTCTCTCCTTTCTTCTTTATTAGTCTTACTAGTGGTGTATCAATTTTGTTGATCTTTTCAAAAAACCAGCTCCTGGATTCATTGATTTTTTTGAAGGGTTCTTGTGTCTCTATGTCTTTGAGTTTGCTCTGCTCTTAATTATGTCTTGCCTTCTGTTAGCTTTTGAATTTATTTGCTCTTGTTTCTGTAGTTCTTTTAACTGTGATGTTAGAGTGTCACTTTTAGATCTTTCCTGCTTTCTCTTGTGGGCTTTTAGTGCTATAAATTTCCCTCTACACACTGCTTTAAATGTGTCCCAGAGATTCTGATATGTTGTGTCTTTGTTCTCATTGGTTTCGAAGAACATCTTTATTTCTGCCTTCATTTCTTTATGTACCCAGTAGTCATTCAGGAGCAGGTTGTTCAGTTTCCATGTAGTTGTGCAGTTTTGAGTGAGTTTCTTAATCCTGAGATCTAGTTTGACCGCACTGTGGTCTGAGAGACAGTTTGTAGTGATTTCTGTTCTTTTACATTTGCTGAGGAGTGCTTTACTTCCAATTATGTGGTGAATTTTAGAATAAGTGTGATGTGGTGCTGAGAAGAAGGTATATTCTGTTGCTTTGGGGTGGAGAGTTCTGTAGATGTCTATTAGGTCTACTTGTTGTGGAGCTGAGTTCAAATCCTTGTTAACCTTCTGTCTCATTGATCTAATATTGACAGTGGGGTGTTAAAGTCTCCCTTTATTATTGTGTGGGAATCTATGTCTCTTTGTAGGTTTCTAAGGACTTGCTTTATGAATCTGGGTGCTCCTGTATTGGGGGCATGTATATTTAGGATAGTTAGCTCTTATTGTTGAATTGATCCATTTACCATTATGTAATGGCCTTCTTTGTCTCTTTTGATCTTTGTTGGTTTAAAGTCTGTTTTATCAGAGACTAGGATTGCAACCGCTGCCTTTTTTTTTTTTTTTTTTTTTTTTTGCTTTCCATTTTCTTGGTAGATCTTTCTCCATCCCTTTATTTTGAGCCTATGTGCATCTTTGCATATGAGATGGGTCTCCTGAATACAGCACACTGATGGGTCTTGACTCCTTATCCAGTTTTCCAGTCTGTGTCTTTTAATTGGGGCATTTAGCCCATTTACATTTAAGGTTAATATTGCTATGTATGAATTTGATTGTGTCATTATGATGGTCACTGGTTATTTTGCCTGTTAATTGATACAGTTTCTTCATAGCATTGATGGTCTCTACCATTTGGCATGTTTTTGCAGTGGCTGGTACTGGTTGTTTCTTTCCATGTTTAGTGCTTCCTTCAGGAGCTCTTGTAAGGCAGGCCTAGTGGTGACAAAATCTTTCAGCATTTGCTTGTCTGTAAAGGATTTTATTTCTCCTTCACTTATGAAGCTTAGTTTGGCTGGATATGAAATTCTGGGTTGAAAATTCTTTTCTTTAAGAATGTTGAATATTGGTCCCCCCTCTTTTCTGGCTTGTAGGGTTTCTGCCGAGAGATCCACTGTTAGTCTGATGGGCTTATGGCTGCCCTTAACACTTTTTCCTTCATTTCAACCTTGGTGAATCCAACAATTATGTGTCTTGGGGTTGCTCTTCTTAAGGAGTATGTTTGTGGTGTTCTCTGTATTTCTTGAATTTGAATGTTAGCCTGTCTTGCTAGGTTGGGGAAGTTCTCGTGGATAATATACTGAAGAGTGTTTTCTAACTTGGTTCCATTCTCCCCATCACTTTCAGGCAGGTACGCCAATCAAACATAGATTTGGCCTTTTCACATAGCCCCATATTTCTTGAAGGCTTGTTTATTTCTTTTTACTCTTTTGTCTCTAACCTTGTCTTCTCACTTTATTTCATTAATTTGATCTTCAATCACTGATACCCTTTCTTCCTTTTGATCGAATTAGCTATTAAGCTTGTGCATGCATCATGAATTTCTCATGCCATGGTTTTCAGCTCCATCAGGTCATTTAAGGTCTTCTCTACACTGTTTATTCCAGTTAGCCATTCATCTAATCTTTTTTCAGGGTTGTTAGCTTCCTTCTGATGGGTTCAAACATCCTCCTTTAGCTTGGAGAAGTTTGTTATTACCGACCTTCTGAAGCCTACTTCTGTCAGCTCATCAAAGTCATTATCCATCCAGCTTTGTGCCATTGCTGGTGAGGAGCTGCAATCCTTTGGAGGAGAAGAGGCACTCTAATTTTTAGAATTTTCAGCTTTTCTGCTCTGGTTTCTCCCCATCTTTGTGGTAGTATCTATCTTTGGTCTTTGATATTGGTGACCTACAGGTGGGGTTTTGGTGTAGATGACCTTTTTGTTGATGCTATTCCTTTCTGTTTGTCAGTTTTCCTTCTAACAGTCAAGCCCCTCAGCTGCAGGTCTGTTGGAGTTTGCTGGAGGTCCACTCCAGACCCTGTTTGCCTGGGTATCACCAGCAGAGGCTGCAGAACAGCAAATATTGCAGAACAGCAAATATTGCTGCCTGATCCTTCTTCTGAAAGCTTTGTCCCAGAGGGGCAGCTGCCTATATGAGGTGTCTATCAGCCCCTACTGGGAGGTGTCTCCCAGTTAGGCTACACAGGGTTCAGGGACCCACTTGAGGAAGCAGTCTGTCCATTCTCTGAGCTCAAACACCGTGCTGGGAGAACCACTGCTCTCTTCAGAGCTGTCAGACAGGGACGTTTAAGTCTGCAGAAGTTGTCTGCTGCCTTTTATTCAGCTATGCCCTGCCCACAGAGGTGGAGTCTAGAGGCAGTGGGCCTTGTTGAGCTGCAGTGGGCTCCACCCAGTTTGAGCTTCCTGGCCATTTTGTTTACCTATTCAAGCCTCAGCAATGGCAGACGCCCCTCCCCCAGCCAGGGTGCTGCCTCACAGTTCAGTCTCAGACTGCTGCGCTAGCAGTGAGCAAGGCTCCATGGGCGTGGGACCTGCCAAGCCAGCCATGGGAGAGAACCTCCTTGTCTGCCAGTTGCATAAGACCTTGGGAAAAGTGCAGTATTTTGGCGGGAGTGTCCAGTTTTTCCAGGTAGTCTGTCATGGCTTCCTTCAGCTAGGAAAGGGAAATCCCCCGACCTCTTGTGCTTCCCGGGTGAGGCGACGCCCCATCCTGCTTCAGCTCGCCCTCCATGGGCTGCACCCACTGTCCAACCAGTCCCAATGCGATGAACCAGGTACCTCAGTTGGAAATGCAGAAATCACCTGTCTTCTGTGTCGATCACGCTGGGAACTGCAGACCGGAGCTCTTTCTATTCAGCCATCTTCACCCGTTGCTCTCTTGCAACATATCTTCGTATTTTAATATTTTTTGTAATAAACCTGCCTTTCTTCACCTAAGACTGTCTTGGTAAGTTTGTTTACCACCTGCAAGGCTGGCCCCAGCCAGTTGCAACCCACGACAATATTCATCCCTATTTTAGAGTTCCTTCTTTGGAGTTGAAACAAGGAGGTCAAACACAAATGAAAATCCCCTTCATGGAAGGCAACAGTTGAGATGTGGCATGAATGAAAGAGGCAACATGCACAAGAGTTCAGGGGAGGGCATGCCTCCCTCAAATAGAAAGATTGGAAGAGTCTTTGAGGGTGTGTTGATGTTTAGTCTGAACATAGAGGACCTGAGAGGTGTGCACACATGGAACTGTGGAGTAAAGGCAGTCCAGGGACACATATTGGTGGAAAGCCAAGTATGCACTTCTAAGGTCTACACAGTAAAATAAAAGTATTAACTTATGAAGTGGGTTTTTTAGGACTCTCATTTGCTGGGCTCTTAAATGATTACAAAGACAAAGTAGTTCTGATATGTGAATATTAATCACCATGAAATTGGAGCTAAAGGTATGGTAGAGATGCAAAACAGAAGTGATCCATATTGAATGAAAGCAACAAGGCCACAAGGCATCTTTTTTTCCCTCTTTTGGGAAAAATTATAGTTATTTTTCCAGAGTGGATCATCTTCCCTTGTATCTCTAGTTCCAGTAGGTCAATCTCTGGAGACAGCTTATACACCTCCAGCGCCATTTTCACATTGTCTGGGTTTGGGAGACACTGCATGAGTTTTCTGCCTGGGAGTGCTTGCTCAGGGACTCCTAAATGAAATATAGGTGCTGGATGTCCTTTGTAGTTTTTGCATTGGGTATCATCTCCATATATTAATTATTTAAAATAAATCAAATAGAATGTTTTTGTGCTGCCTCTAGCAGAGGAGAAACTTTGCTCTCAGTGCTCTAATGACAGTTCCACCCACGTAGTCATGGACTGAAAAGGGAGCTGGAGTTACTTTTACATTGAGGGGCTGGAGATGACCAGCAGGAAGAAATGCAGGTGAGTTTCACCTGTCCGATCACAGTGTAGCCTTCATCACATTTATATACAGCCTCATTTTTGAAACAGTTGCATAAATTAACTTGTTTAGGATGCCCATGGGCAAAACTAGGGGCAAAACTGCAATTTGATGGTGAGATACAAACGTGACAGAGCACGAGGTTATAGAATGTACAAAATAGCACATCCCAGAATGCATGTTATTTGTAGGAGGCTTTATTCTGTCCTTCCATCCTCTCTGCCCATAAAATCACTTGGCTAAACCTTCATACTTGTGTGGCCATCCTGTCAGCCTCAGGCTGAGGAACTGTAGAAAGGCTCAAGTTATAGACCTTACATTTTCCACCATCTTACTAACAAGCTCACTCAACTTGACATTGTTTAGGAACCATTTTGGCATGAAGGCTGGATTCAGCCTAAAGTCATATTATACTCATGCTACCCTTAGTCCCTTGCAAGCTAAATGCAGAGATGTGCATCTGTGAGAAACTGTGAGAAAGTTACATCATCCACAATCCCTGAGTCATTGCTCCCCAATCAAAACTGTCCATTCGGGTTATTATTAAAAAGTCAAAAAATAACAGATTCTGGTGAGGATGCAGAGAAAAGGGAACACTTATATTGCTAGTGGGAATGTAAATTAGTTCAGCCACTGTGAAAACAGCTTGATGATTTCCAAAAGTACTTAAAACAAAACTACCATTTGACTCAGCAATCCCATTATGGGGTATATACCCAAAGGAATATAAATTGTTCTACCATAAAGACACATGCATGCGTATGTTCACTGCGGCACTATTCACAATAGCAAAGATATGAAATCAACCTAAATGACCATCAACAGTAGACTGGATAAAGAAAATATGGTACATATACACCATGAAATACTATGCAGGCATAAAAAGAATGAAATCATGTCCTTTGCAGCAACATGAATGGAGCTAGAGGCCATTGCTATAAGTGAACTAATGTAGGAATGGAATACCAAATACTGCATGTTCTCACTTATAAATGGAAGCTAAACATTGAGTACATGTGGACACAAAGAAGGAAACAATGGACACCAGATCCTACTTGAGGGTGAAGGATAGGAGGAGGGAGAAGATAAAAAATCTGCCCATCAGGTACTGTGCTTATTACCTGGGCAATAAAATAATGTGTCCACCAAACCCCCATATGCAATTTACCTATATAACAAACCTGCACATGTACCCCTGCAACTAAAACAAAATTAGAAAAAAAAACTGTTTATTCATCCTCACCAAGAATATACTTACTGCATTTTAAGATATTTTAGAAAATGACTCATAGAAATAATAAAAATGGGGACTTGCACATTGAAATAAATAGGACATGGCACAGAGCACTTCACTGAAAAGAAACACTGTCAGGGTCCACAAACACTGCATGAGGAAGTTGAACAGAATAGAGCAGCAGGAATGTCAGACAAAGTACCATGCCAAGGTAAGAATTTTCTCTTAAGGCTGAAACCAAGTAATAATGCCTTCCAAATTGTTATTTACTGGGAATAAGAATTTAAAACATTGATCTACACATGGGTATTTAGAAAACCCTCTCCTGGCCTTTCTCATGGATCCTTCAACCTTAATCATCACTATTTTTTAATTCGTCCTCTTTATAGACTAATCCACCTAGCCATTGGTCCCCAAATACATCATACACATTTTCACAGGGGTACCTGTGCTCATATCATCTCTCCTACCTAGAATGCCATCCTTTCTTTTCTCCTTGCTGCTCAAGTGCCAAATGCTCTGTGTGAAGACTTCTCTTTACTTCTCCAGCAAGCAGTCGTCATTTATTTCTCTAAGCTCCTATAGCAGTTATTAGGAAGAGATTATATATCATATCCAACTGCTTGCTGAGATCTTACTATAGTCTATACTACATTGCATATATCACACATTTTATATATATGAATGTATAGTATGTATATTACTTATCTTTTATATATATACATGTATAGTATGAATACTATGTATTCTATGACACTGTATATGTCCTACATAGTATATGTATGCTACATATAGCGTATATACTATGATACTACAGACATAATATATTCATAATTGAAACACCTTATATATATTATATCATCCAATGATCACAATACCCCTAACAGATACTCATTATCATCTTCCCTACCTTTTAAAGAAGAAAACATCTCCATGGAGAAGAACTTTGCTCTATGTTAAGCAGCTACTGAGTGACAGAAACAGAGTTGGAACTGAGGTCTATTTTGCTCAAAAGTTCACATCCTCTATGGCTTCAGTCTATACTGTCTATCTGCTATTTAACAACTGAGTTATACTCTCCTTATTAATAATTTCTTTCTGTTTTGACAGTAGAGAACATGTCTCAAGTATCTTTGTGTCTTTTTGACATGATAGGTTCAAAATAAATGTTCACCTATGTATAAGTCTAGGGCTCACAAATGAAATGTCCTGAGCCTCAGATCAAACGCATTATTAGGAAAAGTCTTTTTATGATGAGTCCAGCAAACACTTATGTGAATTCACCCCCATAAGACTGTTCAGCAGACATCAAGGCACATCTTTGGATACTGTAAGGAAAATAAGTCATAACCACATGAATAGCAAAACCATAATACCAGTCAGCTTATGGTAATATCCAAAGACAAGGGAAGCCAGCAAGAAGGGTATAATAAGAAAGAAGGAACGAGAGAGAACCAACACAGAAAAGGATAAGACAACATTTCTTGGAGGAGATTTGAAATATATATTTTGAAGTTTAGATTAAAATCTGCTTAAATGGGTGAGATGTGGGTAGGCTTTTCATGTTAGAGTAATGGTTTAGGCAAAGGCTTAAAGGCAGCAGAAAGTTTTTATTGACAGAAGAAAAAGAGGCAAACTTAGAAACCAGATTGTGAAAGATTTGGGCATAAGTGACACTGCAGGCAAAGTAGGATTTTGAGGAACTAGAAGAACAGGGGATAAATATGGAGAAACCCGGAGGAACAACTCTCTGTGACCTGTTAGACATAGTCTACCTTCACTGCCTCAGAAACAAGAGGAGACCTGGAAGGTCACGGTAACGGTGCCCAGGGAAAACAGTAAGAGGGTTGGAGTGGAGTATGGCTTTGGAAGAATCACAAATTTAGCCATTTCATTTTCCAGGAAAGAAGAATAACCCGGGATAAAGGAATTCATTTAACCTTAGAGTTTCCCTTAAAATATCCATTATTTTGATTAAAAATAAAAAGAGACCTCTTCCAAAGTAAAACATTTTAAAATTCTCCTTAGAAGAAATTCAGAAGTCACCTTGTGATATTAAGAAAGTTCAAAGGATGAACAACATGGCATCATTCTGGGGCACTAGAAATTAATCTGGACATAAAAGACTACACATTGGGTACAGTGTACACTGCTCAGGTGATGGGTGCACCAAAATCTCAGAAATCACCACTAAAGAACTTATTCATGTAACCAAACCCCTGTTCCCCAAAAGACTATTGAAATTTAAAAAAGAAAAAGATAAATTAATCTTGACAAATTATCTCAATGCTTTTGCCAGGTTGACAGAATGGCATTGTGGGACACCACATTCTCTCTGATCAGCATAAAATCTTTCTATCTTCAGAACTGGGAAAATCCCTGACAGCACATGAATATGAAATATGGTCACCATAGAGATGGACATAGCTATTGGTGAAATATTTTCTTCTCTGTTGAGTGATTTTGAAATTCTATGCAAATGCTCTACTTTAAGTGTTCTGATAGATGGCATAAGGGATGTGTGTAAAAATATTTTTTAATACTTTTAGGAAAGTTTTCTTTTAAAAAAGAAATCATATCAGAAGAAAAAAATTACTTTTTATTAGCATTCTTAATTTATAAATTAAAACAATTACATCTGCATGTATAGCCAGCACTACGCTAGTGGGACCTACAAGTTCTCACAGACTCTTTCAGTGCTCTTGGTAAGGTAGAATTATTCCCTAAATTACAATAAAATACCTTACATCCTATATAATGTTTTCAGTTTACTCAATGCTTTATAATTTTACTTTAGTAAATGCACTCATTATTTGTAACAACATAAAATTTTCCTTTCTAAATGACAAAAATCTTCTCAATTATTAATGCAATAGAAAAAAATCAACCCTTTAGAATAGCTAATTTTAAATTATTTGACAGTATCCATTTAAACATAATTTTATGTAACATACATTAATATAAAAACTAAAGGTTTTTGTTAGATCAGCTTCTCAAAGATTTATATAATATTTTGCTTTCCAAATAACTAAAGATTATGTCAAAAGAACTAAAACTATTTAAATATATTTCTTAATAATGTACTTCATTGTATTTCTCCAAAATTATACCAAATTATTACCATTTGATCATACTGCACTAATTTTTAACCAGGAATTCTTCACCATATCTTGATTTAAACTACCCCTCTTGTTCTCTTCTTCCCCATAACCTCAGTACTCACCACACAGGACAGCTAGAAACCACAGAAGAGACAGGACCCTGGGGAGGCAGTGCTGGGAAGATTCCCTGCAACTTGGGAGGCATTGTGCAGAATCTCAGACACAGCACTTGGCTCAGCATTCTCAGACACCCTAAATCAGATGAAAGTTGGTGCTCCAAATCTCTAGTAAATTGATGCCTGAACCAAGAAACTAAGTCTTGGGAAGGCCACAGCTTTGAGTCACTGAAGGGCAGGGCAGAGTTGGGTAGATCAGGTTCAGGACAAGACCAATAGGGAGCAATCCAATAAAGCTCCAGATCTTGGGGGAACAATATGAGCTGGACATGAGAGTTCTGGGATTTGGTGGATATTTATACTCATTACCACAAGACTTTCTCACTGTCTTTCTTTCCCTTGTTATCAGGGGCACTTGATTGCTTGTTGTCTACGTATATACATCATTTATTTCCAAGTAATCAAGGCACAGTTTAGATGTGTGTCATGTTCTTCAGGTATCAGGGTGAGATGCTGAGACATGTTTTACACCATCTCCCAGAGGTGTCAGATCTTCAGTCACTACTGTGATCTCCCAATAGGCAGGAAAAAATTTCAAAAAATCTATAGTTAAATGTTCTTCCTAAACACTCCACAGCCTAAGTGGAATAGAGAATGCATGCAAGTTTATAATTGTAAAAAAAAATCCAAAAATATAGTTCAAACAATTACTCCCTCAATATTTATGTTTTCTCGATGTATCTATGATATCAAATTATTCATCCACACTAATTGGAAAGTAAAGGAAAGTTTCTCAGAGTGGTGTGTACAGCACAGATAAAGCCTGTGTGAAAAATTAAATGGTAGAGGATGAAGCATTATAAATATAGAAAGGATCATGATGACTTTAAGAACTTTTCAGTGGTGCTGGATCCAAGTAGAGGCCCTTCCCTTCCAGTATTATATCTCTGACAAAAGCGCAAAAAGATAAGTTGTAAAACGTTAACAATAAGTTGTATTTGCTAAACCTAGGACTTAGTTTATTAATAACTATCTGGGTTAAGACTGGTCCATTAATAACTACCTAAGTCATATGCCTGAATTATTTCTTTTAGTCTCCATGAAGTGAAAAGGTGAAGATAACAGCTTGGATTTCATATTTTGCCCCTTGGAGAAGCTATGTATATTTGTTACTTGAGTATACACAAATATTCATCCACAGAGGACAATGAACGCTGAAAAAATATCCAAAAATGACCTTTAACACCAAGCTGAGTGGTAATGAGTATAATAGGCACATAACAACCAAAGTGCTTAACTCTCAAAAATAAAGAGGAACATTTCCCAGAAATAAATGGGTGGAGTTCTTTGTAAATATTGCTGACAGCACAATTGAATTTCAACCTTCCTAGAAAGAAAGGAAAACAAATGAACCCATCATGTGGTTTGATTCATCTGATAAACAGGAACTAAAATAAAATCTGACTATGTAGATAGAAGAGGTCATTTAAATAGTTAAGTAGAATATTGTTTTTAAGAAACAGCTTCTGCTTATTAAACATGTTCCAAACTTTTACATAAATTATTGCATTTAATTTCTTAAAGCAAACCTATAACATGGATATTAGTAGACATATTTTATAGAGGAAACTTATTCGGAAAGACTGAGTATACTTTTCTAAATTTTTCTGATCAGTGGCAAAATCAGATTCTGAATCCAAGTCTGATTCAAATCCCAAGCTCTTTTCACTATGTCAAACTAATTGCATTTAATGAAATCAGACTAAGCTTTTTTATGTGGAACTCTGTGCCTATCACTTAGGAGAGTATGCCTAAGGACTTTCTGCTTTTACTATGGTGGAAAAGACTCTGAACTGCCCATTTTATCAGGAGACCAAATCCTCATATAACCTACCAAGAATCATGTGGCTTAGTCATGAGACTGTGACCCAGGCCTTCATCTCCACATATGTTTAAAGAAGAGCTTGGAATTAGAATGGTCTCTATGATATTTCCAGTAGAGATATTTTAAGCTCGTGCAGTAATGGAAAAAATAAAGTGCAAAAAAATAGGAATTTATTGTCTTAAATAAAGGACAAGAAAAGCAGAAATTGGGTTGACAATAATGAGGTATAAAACCTTACTCCTATAGCTCAACTCACCATGAAATAATCATATTAACACCTGTATCAGTCCATTTTCATGGTGCTGATAATACCAGAGATTGGGTAATTTATAAAGAAAAAGAGATTTAATGGACTCCCAGTTCCATGTGGCTGGGGGGAGCCTCACAATCATGGCAGAAGGTGAAAGTCATGTCTTACATGGTGGCAGGCAAGAGAGAAATGAAAACCAAACAAAAGGGGTTTCCCCTTATAAAACTATCAGCTCTCATGAGACTTATTTACTACCATGAGAACAGTATGGGGGAAACCACCCCTATGATTCAATTATCTCCCACCAGGTCCCTCCCACAACACATGGGAACTATGGGAGCTACAATTCAAGATGAGATTTGGGTGGGGACACAGCCAAACCATATCAACCCCTACTGAATGAACAAAATATGTGAATGTAAAAGAACTTGCCTTAGCCCACCAAGATGCAGTCCTTGGGAAGAACTTTATGAAATTTATGAGATCCTAGAATACACCATTAAAGGAATAAGGATGTAAAAATGGGAGAGAAGAAAATAAATACAGTTTACATTGGCGAGCAAGTTACCTTTGTGGTTTACTGAAGCTAAACCCCTTAAGGAACCTCAGGTAGAGAGTGTAGAACATGCCTCAGAGATTGCCTACCTGTGGATTAAGAAAGCTGGCATTTATATCTACCAACATCCATCTTGGTACCATATCCAAGGGAGGCCAGCCAATCACTTGGGTTCCTATCATGGAAGATACAGTGATTTGCCTCTGCAGCAGTAGATTCTTGAATGGATTTGGATTTATCATCCCTATGGCAAGGCTTCTTGCAGCCATACCATCTGCGGACTTGCTAAATGCTTTATTTGCTGTTATGGGAGGACATACATTATTACTTCTGATCAAGGAATTCACTTGATGATGAAATAATATAAGTCAATGAAATGATGTTCCTGAGATTCACTGGTCCTATGTGGTATTCCATCACAGAAGCAGCTGACATTATGAAAGAGTGCAATGGTATACTGAATGCCCAAGAAGCTAAGAAAGAATGCCTTATGAACTTGGAGTATAGACCTATAGCATATGGTATATTTTCTTTTCTTTTCTTTTCTTTTCTTTTCTTTTCTTTCCTTTCCTTTTCTTTTCTTTCCTTTTCTTTTCTTTTCTTTTCTTTTCTTTTCTTTTCTTTTCTTTTCTTTTCTTTTGAGACAGAGTCTTGCTCTGTCACCCAGGCTGGAGTGCAGTGGCACAATCTCAGCTCACTGCAACTTCCACCTCCCAAGTTCAAGCAAGTCTCGTGCCTCAGCCTCCCAAGTAGCTAGGATTACAGGCATGCACCACCATCCCTAGCTAATTTTTGTATTTGTAGTAGAGATGGGGTTTCACCACGTTGGTCAGACTCGTCTTGAACTCCTGGCCTCAAGAGATCCACCCACCTTGGCCTCCCAAAGTGCTGGGATTACAGGCGTGGGATACTATACCCAGCCAGGATATGATATATTTCCTAAAATAGTAGTTGATAGTTGGAGCTATTCTGAAGTGGCCAGACTAGTAAACCAAAGGGCAGATATCACATAAAGGCAGAGATGCCTGAGGAGTCCCAGTTGTTCTAGCCCTCAGCTTGTTAAGTCTTCCCAGCTCAGATACCAGACATGTGAGTAAGCAAATCTTTAGATGATTCCAGCTCCCAGTCTATGAGACACCTCTACTGATGCTGAGTAGAGCAAAGTCAACCTCCACAAAGTTCTGCCCAGACTGCAGATTTATGAACAAAGTAAATGTTACCATTTTAAGCCACTAAGCAAGTTTTGGGGTAATTTATTATGCAGCAACAAATAACATTACAGCATCCTCTACATTAACAGAAAAAATGTTTTTGATAACTTCGCTAGATGCAGAAAACATACTTGATAAAATTCAACAACAATTTATGATAAAAATGGAAACCTCTTAGAAAATTAGGAATGAAAAGAAACTTTCTCAATCAGACAAGATCGAGCATGTTCAGGGTGGTATGGCCATAGATATACTACATAATAGTGAGCCATTAAAAGTTTTTCTCTTGAGATCAATAAGAAGACGTGAACAATTGCTATATTCACTTCCATTGTACGTTGAATTGCGGTCCCATTCATGGGAATAGAATGTTAGCTAAGTAAATAGATAGATAGGAAGGCAGGCAGATATATAGATAGATAGATAGATAGATAGATAGATAGATAGATAGATAGATAAATGGTAGGAGGGGGAAGGAAGGCAAACTGTTATTTCTCACAGGTGACATAATTAGGAATTTTAAAAAGCCAAAGACATATAAAAAATTAATTAGAATTAGCTGATTATCAAATAAAATATCAACAATCAAAAACAATTATCTACTGTCCAAAAATTATATAAAAAGATTTTTGTATAAATGTAAAACTTAAAATGCCAGGTGCCTAGAGGTAAGTTCAATGAGAGATGTATAAGAGCTCTTCACTGAAAGCTAGAGATAAATAAAAGATATAAATAAATGTAGGAAAATACCATGTTTATGGATTAGAAGGCACAATGTTGTATAGATATCAATTCCTCCCAAATTCATACATCAATCAAATGCATTCTAATAAAAATTTCAAAAGAATTTTGGTGAAAATTGACAAGCTGATTTTAAAATTCATTTAAGTGCAAAGGAGCAAAGTTGTCAATGTAATCTAAAGAGGCGGTGGAGGAGGAATAGGAGAAGGACCCACATTGCCAGATATTAAGGCTCATTATGAAGCTGTAGTAAAGAAGACATTGTGGTATTGGCGTAAGATAGCCAAACAGACCAAGGGCTAACAACTGTGACTCAAGAACAAACATCAAATATGCATAGCTAATTGGCTTATGACAAAGTGACACTACAGAGCAATGGGAGAAAGGATGGTCTTTTTAATAAATTATACCAGATTAATTGTATGTCCATATGGAAAAAAATGAATCTTGGTCCTTTACCTTACACGATAGCAGTTATGGGTGGATCATAGTTCTAGGTGTGAAAGTAAAATTCTAAATATCTTAAAAGAAAACATGGGCAAAGATTTGGGGGTAGGCATAGATTTCTTAAATGGGATACAAAACTCTAATCAAAAAGGAAGCACTTGATATATTGTACTACATTAAAATTAGGAATTTATGTTTATAAAACACATAACTTTATAAAAGTAAAAAAAGCCAGGCCATAGATCAGGAAAAAGATATTTGCAATACATATCTCATAAAGGACTTTTGTCCAGAATATATTAAAAACTCCTACAACTAAATTAGAACTAGGTAAATCATCCAATAGAAAAATGAGTAAATGACTTGAACTAGAACTTCACAGAAAAGGAATATCTAAATGGTCAATAAACATATGAAAAGTAATTCAACCTCACTAATCACTGGGGAACAACAAATTTAAAGCACAATGTGATACCCAACAGAATTTCTCAAAAAAAAAAAAAAAAGAACAATTAACAATAGCAAGTGTTCCATGTTCTGCAGGAGTGTGTTTTGCTATAACAGCTTTGGAAAACTGAACAAACACATACACACACCTTATAAGCCAGCAATCCCATCCTCAGGTATATGCGGAGAAAAAAATGTCAATATTCAGCAAAAGGCATTTGCAAAAATATTTGTAGCAGCACTATTCATGATAGCCAAAAAACTAAAACTAACCCAAATGTTCATCAACAATAGGATAGATAAGTTAATTGTGATATATGCATACACTGGTGGAATACTAAATAGAAATGAAAATAAATGAACCTCAGCTATGTATAACATGGATGAATCTCACAAATATAATATTTAAAGGAAAAAACATATATGAAGGAGTGCATAATGGATGATTCCATTTCTATAAAGTTGAGCAGCATGCAAGCCCAATCTGTTAAAAGTGCTGTTAAAAGTGAGAAGAGTGGAATTCTGTGCAGGGGTAAAGCGATGAGTTACTAATGGGCAGGGGCCATCAAACAGACAATGGTTTTGTCTGTAATGTTACAGAAAATCCTTTGAGTTTTGTATCCTTTTCTGTAGGTTAAGGGTAGGCACATGTGGGATTCAGAGTAAAGGCATTCAGATAAAGATTATGGTATGAACATGGTTTGAATTTCCTGGCTTCCATTCTTTCTGAGGTACGAAAAAGGTGAGGCAAAGTTAATTACAGAAACTTTAGGCAGTGGATTTGTGTACTGGAGTGTATCATATTTATGCAACATATTGACCAAGATGACAATACAAACTGATATTTGGTAAATAATTATTTAATTAACCAGCACTTCAAGTCCAGGAAACTGGACATTTGAGCTACAAAAGGCTAGATTACCAATAATTACACATTTTTCTCTGGCAGTAATAAGAAAGTTCTCCTAGCCCAGACCCTTATGAGAGTGATGGTGCTCAAGGAAGAGTAGGGTGGATGAGTGAAGATTCTGTATGTTGATTTGAAGGGAAAAATAAGTCCTTCATTTCCTCTTTTTCAGAAAATTTCTGATGGGTGTTCATCAATTTGTCTCTCTCTTTTTCAAGTTGTTTTATCTCCAGAGACAGCTTATACACCTCCAGGGCCACTTTCACATCCTCTGGGCTTGGGAGACACTGCATGAGTTTTCTGCCTGTGAGCACTTGCTCACAACCTTCAGGTGCCTCCTAAAAGTGATTTAAAGAAATGAGTAGGGGATGGGAGTACATTCTTTTTTTTTTTTAATACTTTAAGTTCTAGGGTACATGTGCACAATGTGCAGGTTTGTTACATATGTATACATGTGCCATGTTGGTGTGCTGCACCCATTAACTCGTCATTTACATTAGGTATATCTCCTAATGCTATCCCTACCCCCTCCCACCACCCCACAACAAGCCCCGGTGTTTGATGTTCCCCTTCCTGTGTCCAAGTGTTATTGTTCAATTCCCACCTATGAGTGAGAACATGCAGTGTTTTGTTTTATGTCCTTGTGATAGTTTGCTAAGAATGATTCCTCAGGGATCTAGAACTAGAAATACCATTTGACCCAGCCATCCCATTACTGGGTATATACCCAAAGGAATATAAATCATGCTGCTATAAAGATGGGAGTACATTCTGAGAGTCATTACTGGCAAAAGGGAGATTGACCTGAGGAACAAATAGGAAATCAGGAGAGACCGTGCATCCTAGCAAGTGTTCACATGCAAGCCAAGCCCAGATCTGTCCTTGAGCAGCAACCAAGCAGTCTGAAGCTAAAAAGATGCTGGGCTCCAAAGGAGATGCAAAGCACATCCACACGGACAACTGAGGGATGGTTCTGAGGACCAACCAGAAATGGAACAAATGCACAACATTTATTGTAGAAAATGTAGAGCTAGGGGTCAGGACATCTGGGTCAATAGACTCTCAAGTCTAGAGATTTGGGCTCTAGACACAGAGCAGGAAAATGTGTCTCTCTTGGCTTATCACCATGCAAGTTTGGAAGTGCTAATTGTGGTAAGTTACTTATGCTTCCTGACAAAAGTCAGATCTCCCCATTGCTAACCGGAACAGAACCTTGGAAGAGGCCACTATTTTTAGGGATTGGTAGCACAGAACTTCCTTGAATTGTGCCACTTACCCACTCACACCTGGGCACTTCTGGGTACCAGGTTCTCTTCTCTGAGCAAGTGATACTTTTGAGACCAACCACACCATAGCCAGAATCACATTCAATGGTAACATTTTCAGACTCAACATACTGATCCTTATCCACAGACAGCCTTCCATTCACTATTTCTGGTTTCAGACACAGAGCTGTAATGAAAATGTATTTTTGATCACACTGTTTCTCAAAAAAAGTCATCATAACAGCATTGGATAATAAAAAGGATACAAAATTGTATTCACAATTATATTCTGGTCCTGCAGGTTGTTCTATGCTTTTATTTTAATAATAATTATAACAGTAATAATTAGCATTTATTGAACAAGTACTATATGTCAATCTATGTGCTAAATTTTTTACTTATCTCATTTAAACCTTGCTACCAATCTATGAGTTAGATACTATTATTATCACAATTTTACCAGCAAGGAAACTGAAAAGTTAAATATTTCCTCAGTATCACATAGCTTATAAGTGGTAAGAATTGGTGCTCTCAATTGCTGCACCCCACAGCCTTGATTTGTGGATTCTTGATATGTACTTTCCATTGTTCTTGCTTCATCATCTTCCTGGGTTAAACAGAGCCAGTGGTGATTATTAGCAGAATGATGAAAGCTCCAAGCACAATCAAGAGACAGAGCCTTACTTGATTCATCTTGTTTCTACAGCAGGTTTACCAACAGCACCACCATCAGGTAATCAAAAGTGGAAATGTAAATATCATGGGGAAATGGTGACCATCATGAAGTTTTTGTGGAGATTTCCAACACTTCAGAATTTGGGAATTAACACTTGAGATTCCTCTTTCTTGAGTAGTTGAAATTAACTTAGGATTCTCATGAAAACTAGAGCCACAAAGGTATTCTCAGGTAAAAGATACTGTCTCAACATATTCTGGAAAGACATATAAGAACCTGGTAGTAGTGGTTCTCTCTGAACATAGGGCAAGCTATGCTTTTGGAAGACTGGAGTAGGAAGTAAAGTTCATTTTCAATATACCTGTCAATTACTTTTTAAAATATATCAGGCATAATTTAAATAGTATGAATAAATAAATAAAGACAAAATTTATGCTGCCTTTGATTAATAGGAAACATTGCCATTAATGTTTTCTAATTCTATCTTCTATGGATTATGAGTTGAGTTGGAGTTACCTTTACATTGAGGAGGTGCAAGTTGCCAGTGAAAAGACTTGCAGTAGATTGTAGCAAATCCAGCCAAAACATATCCTTCATCACATTCATATGTAGCCTCAGGATAAGGAGTTATTAAAATAACTTCCTTGTAGTGTCCATGGGCAATACTGGGAGGGTAACTGCAAACTTGGATGATGAGAGAGAGAGAAGAGCATGAACTCATAGTTTCAGATTAATCTCCCCAAATCTGAATGATCTGTAGGAGATTCAAATGTTCCCATCCAAATCCTTTTTCCATAGGGTAACTTGACGCAACTCAACATTTCTACTGCTTTCAGGCTGAGAATCTAGAGAAAAGCTTGATGTGAATGAAAGCAACTCTTGGGTTGAGAGAATTCTCCATTTTGTAGGACCTTTCTTGGTTTTTGTGTACATGATCACTAAAATATTTCACTGCTTAGGGAAATTAAATGAGCTTTGGTACGAAAGCATGAATTCAACCATAGAGAGTCATATTAAATGAAAATCATTCTCAATAGAAGTAAGGCAAAGTAAAGGAATAGTTGTAAAGGCCCTGAATAACTGCAGGATCCCCAAACAATCTTGTCCATAACTACAATACCATAAGAACATAATTACCATATCTTACAATTTAAACAATGATTTCAGTGTTGACATAAGTAATATGAAATGCTGGGGTAGTCATACTAGAAGGGAACTTTCAAGTTTCAGGAACTCTTGAATGAAAAATTGCAACAAATTTAGAGCCCTGAGAATGTCAAAGGAAGTCCTGTGTTGAAGGATGATTGCCTCCGAAGATTAAAACTAAGCGACAGGGATTTTAAAATGCTCTATTTTCTAAAAATAAAATAATCAGCATCTTTAACAAACCATGGACATATGAAAAAATAAAAATACCTCTATTGGCCTTTTTCATAGATCCTTCAAATTCATCTAGCACCATTTTTTTTTTCTTTTTTTTTCTTTTGAGATGGAGTCTCACTCTGTCACCCAGGCTGGAGTGAAGTGGCATGGTCTTGGCTCACTGCAACCTCTGCCTCCCAAGTTAAAGCAATTCTCGTGCCTCAGCCTCCCAAGTAGCTACTATTACAGGCATGCGCCACCACACCCGGCTAATTTTTGTATTTTTAGTAGAGATGGGGTTTCACCACATTGGCCAGGCTGGTCTCGAATCGTGACCTCAGGTGATCCGCTCACCTCAGTCTCCCAAAGTGCCGGGATTACAGGCATGAGCCACCGCACTGGGCCCCATCTAGCACTATTTCTGTTTAACCAAACTAGTCAACTCCTCCTTCCCTAAACTTGTCATGTACATTTCCACTTCTATATATTAATATTTCCTCCTGGGACTCCCCTTTATTAGCATCTGCTTACCTTCTCTAATTGTTATCTCAAGTCCCACTTCTCCATGAAGCTTTGTTTGATTATTCCAATAAACAATGTCTGTTCTTTCCTTTTATAACACTTGTTAGCAGTAGATTACTTAAGATTAATAGAGTTTAATTAATGGGACATAAACAAATCGAGTGGTGCAAAGGATATATTGTAACAAATGCTTTGTACCCATGCCATGTCCCTTTGGACTTCTGACTACAGTCGCAGATGAAATATATAATTTTACACAAGCTCAGATTTACACTGATGATGTTCTACAGAAAGCATTCAATGTGAATCTGTCAGTCTTACTTTGGAGCCTCCTTTGCAGCTGAAAGAGCACAGTTGCAATTGAGGCTCAGTTACTGACTAAATTACTGAAGCGGTTACTGCCCTTTAGGGCAACCCTAAACCAATGAGCAACAGAAAGTATTGGATAAATGTCCCAGTCTCCCATCCTTCAGACAGATAATTATGAAAGGCATTCCTTACACTTCTCTGTGGTCCCAAAGAATTGAGCCGCTGCTGCTCATAATAGTCACCTTTGCTGATTCCCCTTGTCTCTCCCTCATCCCTGACTCCTACCTCCTAGAATCACCTCCAAAATAAACTACTGGCTCCCAAGTCATTTTCTCAAGCTTTGCTTTTAGAGAAACCCAAACTATAGTACCGAGTAATCACCATCGTGTTGATGTGAAGAGTCTTTCATAATGAAGATACTTCCATAATAATAACATTTTCAGTGTCTTATCCTGATAAGAGACAGATGTTTATCACCTTAGATGCTTATTTCTTCTCCTTCGTGGTATTTCAACAGAGAGGTGGTTCAGTAGGTCTGAGTTAAAGCAAGGAAAGAAAAGGCTGACACCGTCAGCCACTAGGCTTCAAGACTCTCCCTAACAGAGCACTTCTTCAACCTGGAGCTTCCATTGTTACACAATATGTAAATCATGTTTTCTCCCTTGACTTATAAATATGGAGCATTGTGAGGTAGTGTCCCTCTTTACTAAAACATCAGTACACATGCAGGAAAATGACAAAATGAGACTGAAAGACTTCATCAATTCTACTGTTTTCTCTTAAAAGAAAATTTCTCCTGTAAGTTTGTCTTCCAACATATTTTGTTCTATAGCTGCCTTGCATGGTGCTAGTGATGTGTATCTGTGATCCTTTTTGCACAATGCTTCTTGCAGGAACAACCTCAAATTCAGTTAGTTTTAAGTACTTCGATCTTTTGTGGAACCAAGTGGAATCATTTGGGGAATCTAGGAAATGATTATGACAGGTTCTCTCAATATTCTTACCTGGCTCACATGCTGGCATTTTAGGCTTCCATGTGCCATCTGTGTGGCAGGAACTCTCCCCGTCAACAGAAATAGGGTAATAGCCTTCATCACACATATATGAAATATAGTCTCCATAGGCATAGACACATCTACCAGTGAAATACCTCCTTTCATTTATGATTCTGATATTCTCCAGATCTGGTGTTGGGCAACATACCCCTGATGGATTAAAAAATGTTCAACATTACATGTCTGTATCAAAATATCTCATGTACCCCATAAATATATACAACTACTATGTACTCACAAAAATTTTTTTAAAAATTTTTAAATGTTGTTCACATTTAGTAAATCAATCAGGGGGACACACCTTTGGCTGAAGACCTGATTCCACCTTATAGAAGATGTTAATATCTGAAGGCAAACTCATAGAAGCAGAGAGTAGAATGGTGGGTGCCAGAGGCTGGAGGAGGGAGGGGAAACAACTCCCCAGTTGTTCAACAGGTATAAAGTTTCAGTTGTGCAAGATTAATAAGTTCTAGAAATCTGCTGTACAAATAGTGCCTATAATTAACAGTACTATATTATACACTGAAAAACTTATTGAAAGGGTAGATCTCATGTTAAGTGCTTTTGCCAAAATTTAAAGAGAGAAAGAGAAAGAAAGAAACAAAGAAGTTGAGGGAAGAGTTAGACCAAGCATCTTCTCCAAATTCTGCCATTGTTTGGTTGAAGTGCTATTACTTAATTTCCCTCCAACCGTGTTTCTTCATTAGAAGTCCTTAAAACAAAGTGTTGATTTTGGCAGTAATGAGCTAAGCAATTTAGATTCACCTTCTCTTTGATAACAAGTAGAAAAACATGGTGGGGAGTGGGGGCAGTTAATCCATGAAGAAAGAATTCAGGTGCTAAGACCTTAATTGTCTTAGTTGTTCTTTTAATGAGAAAGAAAGATACCCAATGAGGTGTACCAGGAATGTAGAGCTGCTTTTTTATATATATCTAGAAGTATACAATAATTCTCCTCCCCCAAGATACAACTTAGTGGCTAAGAAGCTGATCAGAACTCAATGTGTGTGTGGTAGTGGGGATTGATTGCTGGTAACCCACAGCTCTTGGGAATCTTTAGAACTATACCTTGAAGTAAGAATAAACCAAAAATAGACCAACTATCTATAATAAGTATTGAAGCCCAGGCTTGTATCATTACATTCCCTGATTGGATTTGGGTCATTCAAAGCCCTTAATGCCCCTTACTACCTGCCACAAGCAAACAGGAGACCAGACAAGGTTATTAAAAAGCCAAAGAAAGCAAGAGACAATGCTAACAGATCTGAGAGGATCCAGAAAATGAAGTTCTAAACATTGACTTAAAAGCCACTTTGCTTTGTTATGTAGAAGGAAATAAAATACATCATTGAGAATTTTGGTAGAAAAATCAATATCAATACTACAAATCCACTACAAATGGGAATCTTGAAAGTGAAAAAACAATAAAGTTAAGAATTCAACTCATAATTAATATCAGATAATACATCAATGAAGAGAGAATTAGTGAACTTAATTTATATTCATAGTAAAATACTGAGAAACAAAAAGTAAAAACACAGGTAAGAGCACAGGAAATATAGAAGATTCAGTATAAAAGCTTAACATAAATGTAGCCAAAGTATCAGTAGAAGAGTGAAAATAGGGCTGAAATTGTACTCAAAGAAAATACTTATTTATAATATTGAAGTATTTGAAGTTGAAAATTTTTCCAAAATCAGTGAAAGGCATCAAACCTCATATTATAGAAATATCCTAAATCTCAAAAAGGGTAAACACAAAGAAACCAACCCAGACATATCAGACAAAAACTGCCACAAAAAAAAGGCAAGAACATCTTAAAAGCAATCAGAAAAAATAGAAAACCTTCACATGATCAACAGTATGACTAATAGCAAAATTCTTGACAGAAACAATTAAAGGCAGAAGACCGTGGAATGAAATCTTTCACATGACCACGGAAAACAATTGCCAATCTAGAAGTTTATATCCAGCAAATATATCTTCAAATATTAAGGTGAAATAAAGGCACATTGAGAAAAACAAAGAGAGAAATTTATCATCAACAGGTTCTCACTAAAAGAAACTAGAGAGTATTTATGAAGCAAAAGAAAGGGATAACAGATATGACTGAAGAATCAGAAGAGAATAAAATAGTAATTATGTGAACAAATCTAAACTAATTGGATTTACTAAGATAATAATGCAATAGTAATAATGATAATAATAATGCAGAGTTTAAGACACATTTAGAATTGAAAAATAAAATCATATAAGTCAGGCAGGATAAATCAAGTTAAAGGTTTCTAAGGCTTTTCATTGCCTGGGAAGAGGCAAAAGTAGTAAATTATGTATAAACATCATAAAAAGAGCTAAAAGTAAATAAATACCAAGTAAATACCAGGTAAAAAAAATGGAAAAAAATTTAAAATCAATTCAAAAGGAGGGAAAAAAAAGAATGTAAAACAAAAAACGTATATAGCAAATAGATGGTAGATATAAATTCAATTATATTAATTATTACACTAACTGTACACTGACAAGTGCTCTAATTAAATAATGAAAATTGTCAAGTAGGATTAAAATATCCAACTCTATCCTGCTTCCAAGATACACTTAAAATATACAATTACAGAAAGTACAAAAACAAAAGACTAAAAGAGGATAAACCATGTAAACACTAACTCAGATAAAGATGTCAGAACTATATTAATGTAAAAGTAGAATTTTAAAGATAAAACAGTTATAGTAATAGAGTCATTTTATAATGATAAAAAGTGAAATTTATCAGGAAAATATATCATTCTAAATTTGTATGCATCTAGCAATGTAGTCTCAAAATATACAAAGCAAAAAATGATTTGAAAAAACTAAAAAGATGGCCACGTGTGGTGGCTCACACCAGTAATCCCAGCACTTTGGGAGGCCGAGGTGAGTGAATTTCTTGAGTCCAGGAGTTTGAGACCAGTCTGGACAACATGACAAAACCCCATCTTTACAAAGAATACAAAAATGAGCCAGGTGTGGTGGTGTATACTTGTAGTCCCAGCTACTGAGTCAGGAGGATGGCTCGAGCCCGGGAAGTTGAGGCTGCATCCAGCCGAGATCATGCCACTGCATTCCAGCCTGGGTGACAGAGCAAGACCCTGTCTCAAAACAAGCAAGCAAGCAAACAAACAAAAACTCTGAAAAGATAAAAGACAAACAAAACTTTTTTAGTAACCGAGAGAACAAGTAGACAAGAAATAAATATAAATATGGAAATAGATTTGAACAAAACCATTAAAATTAGATCTAATTGATGTATATGTAACATTGCACCCAACAACTGCAAAATATGCATCTTTTCAAGTGCACACAGAACATTTATAAAAATTAACTATATGCTATGAAGTGAAGCAAGTCTCAGCAAATTTCAAGGATTGTGCTCAACATTTTCAATATCAAAGAAGATACACACACATATATACACAAAACAAAGTTCAAGTCTTCTTACTCTCACACTCATTGGAAGATGTCCATGTCAAATTTTCCTGACAAGTCACAGTCAGAGGCTCATCTAAAACAGGTCTATAGCCAGGTTTGCATAGATATTTCAACTCAGTTCCAATTTCAAATATTTCGTGATCACTTAGGTTGTAGTCATTTCTCTCCCAGGAAGCATAGGAAATGTCCGGTAGGACAGTGCAACCATTCACTCATAAAGAAAGCACAAGGGTGAAAGAAATGTGTTACTGGGAATGGCAGAGTGACTCGTGAGCCTGTCACAAAAAAGGGATATAACATAGTCATTCAGCAAAAAATGAGATGGTAAAGATTAAATGGGAATTCCAGAAAAAGACTCGGCAGCACCACTGCCCAATAGACTAGTGTCTATTAAGTGCATGTGTCTACTAAATGCATGTGCCACTGGAGAGGCTGTACTGAGAAGCATGCCATGGTGTAGGAAGGGGACAGTTTCTAGGTGCTGGGTCAACTCCGTAGGAGCTTAGTTTTCCTTTCACATCACTGCACTTTAGAATGGTTGGTCTTCAGGGGAAGAATTAGGATCACTAGAAAGACACAGCAAAAATTTGCTCCAAGATGAGAATGACTTTCTAATCTCATTGCCTAATGGGGAATTAAAATAAGAGGCATTCTTCTTGACATCATGACACTATCATCTGCAACTTCATGCTTTGGCCTCAAACCAAGCCCCATATAACTTTTGCAGCTGGGCCTTTCATCTTGTATTTTTTTTTTCTATTCAACAATATGCTAAAGGTCAGTGTGAATCAAAGAGAGGATATGTGTCTGTCAAATTGTGTATTTATTGAATTTCATTACTACACATTTTGAATGGCACCTAAGTTTATGTGATAGCAGAAGAGACTAGATAAACCACAATGTAGTGGTGGCTTCCACCTCCAATTAACTATGTGAGCTTGTGCCAGTTACTTAATCTTTCTTTTTCGGTTTTCTCACCATTAAAATTGGATAAAAAATAGCAACTTCTTGGAATAGTTGTAAATATTGAATGAGTTAATTGATGTAAAGCACTTAGAACAGTGTTTATAACATAGAAAATGCTCAATAAATGCTAGCAATAAATCATTAATGTTATAAATGATCTGTATGTATTTACAACATGAAGGTCTCAAGACCAATATTGGCCCATAGAGCATTTCTATGCAAATTATAAAAAAGAACTGTCTTAAAGGAATCTTACTTCCATTGTTCAAAAAATTCTCGTAATACATTGATTTTGTTAGACTGAAACACTTTACTATTGTCTCCTGGAAAATTTTTATAGCAAATATATAAGTCTACAATATCTATGAAGTCATTGGTCTCATGACTATATATTTGGAATTCTTCCAATAGCGCTAAGAGATTATTAACAAAAAAATCTTCCTTTTGACAAGAAAAGTACCAATTTATCTTAAAATGATTATTGGGAGTAGAGTTGGCTTGTGCCTGTGAGCATGCCACACCTATATGTCAGGATAGTTTTAGATCCAAATATTGGAACTCCATCGTAGTCCATACTCACTGGATATGCAAGAGGGAACAGAAGGATACCACTCATTATTCGTTTCACAATAGATTAAACTGCTGCCTCTGAGGATATAACCTTCCTCACAGTTAACCATAATAGAGTCTTTGTAAGTATAGAGGGGTCCAAATCCAGAAACAAAGATTGCCTTTGGAATCTGTGGTCGACGACAGACAATTTCTAAAGAAGCATACAAAAAGACATCTGAGTTATCAGAGAGAAATGGCAGTAAAGATGTGACTGTAACTGTTGGCATGGCTTCAAGGAGGGCCTGATACAAATATATATTTAATAGGCGCTGAACAAAGAAAACATTTTGGAGATTTGTATACTTCCTTTCAGTTGCCAGAAACCTCAGCAAAATGAGGTCCCATCATGTTAGTCATGTAAAGTCCTCCAACTTTCTCATCAATAAGAATGGGCAATATCTAAACCCTGAAGTCCAAATCTCAATGTCTCCAAATCCTTCCATTAAATGGCCTAATTTCCTGGATGATTTTGGTTGGGGGTCAGTGACCCATGGTAATGATATGGTGTCATGCAGAGGCAGCCAGGGTATCGGGAAATCTGTGCTGCGCCTCCATAAGCAGAGAACAAGCCGCCTTCACCCCACATCATGTTAGTCATCATGTCCTGTCAATCCTGCCATCTTAATTCCTCTATACTTCCTCAACTTTCCTCCAGGCTCACTGCTGTGGCTACAGTTGAAGCCACTTTCACTTCCTGGCTGAAAGGTTGCAACAGGTGCCTATTAGTTATGTTTTGTTTCACTTCACATTGTCCTTTTAATGTCTTCCCTTTTCCTTCATTCCAAACTCCTGAAAGTGACACACAAAGCTTTCGTAACCTGGCCCCTACTAACTTATCCAGCCTCAGCTCCTGCCTTTTCCACTTCTTGCAGTCTTTTCACTGTTATGCTCTCTCTCACCCCGGCATTGGCTGTGTCCTGTACTGAGTCAAAACAATATGTGATACTATGGTTTTTAGGCACTTTATTTGCAGTAAAGAATAATGTCCTAAACCAGCAAGCTGAATCATTACTGATATTGACGTAACATCTCTTCTGGCTTCCATAGAGAGGCCAAGGGAAAATACTTTCTTTCATTGTGTTTTATTACCTTTATTACCTGCTGGTGTTGGTGTTTTGTTTGCTCCTTAGGCATGCATGGTTGACATTGTTAGTGTCCACCCATACTTCCAGTTATTGTAAGGTAAACAAAAGACAGTGTTTCCCGGTTATTCTGTATTAGGCAGAAATAAGGAACTAGTTCTGGTCAAAAGGCTGTAATGGCAAGTGATATATGTCACTTCCAGGTCAAAGAACTGAAGAGCCAGAGACTGACTTTCCTTGTTCTCTTCTCCCGCTGAACTAATTGTGGAAGTTTTGACATGGAGGTGTCAAAGATCTAAACAATCTGGATTACCATATAAGTGACAGCTGCCCTAGGGAGTTTCCCAGGCTAGCAGTGCACTAAGAAGAAACTTGAAAAAAACTTTTACTGTATAAAGGCCTTGAGATTTAGGTGTTGATTACTACTGCAGCACAGCCTATGCTATTCTGACTGATACAGCATGTAACAAGATTAGTTGAACAAATGAATGACTCCATCATTGCAGTGATTAGTTTCTCTTTGAATCATTCCATCTTCCCTAATAAATATGCCTTCCTTTTGTTTTTAAACAAATAAAAGAGATCAAAGCAGAACTAATCATTCTGACTTACTTTCACAGATAGGAGGGTTTGGGCTCCAGACACCTATTGTTTCATTCTCCACGGTGCAGGAGATGGAGACGTTGCCTATGAGTGAGAAGTAGGGGTTGCAGCTGTAGGTGACAGAGGAGGCATATGTGTAGAATTCTTGATCTCCACCGCTGTGCTTCCCATTCCTGATGTCTGGAGGGGGCTCGCACTTGGCAACTGAGGTGAGTGAGTGAAGAGAAAGAAACACTCAGGGTAGGCATTGGGTTAAATCGAAAATTCATGCAAATTCTAACGGAGGGTAAAAGAAGCAGTGAGATTTCACAGCAGTGTTATTACCTAAAGTAGTTTAGGTTTGTAGTCAGGTCAGAAAAAAAAGTTTTACTTACTTACACGTTCTGGGAGAGGATCACTCCAATCAACTCCTTTACCTTGGATCTGACAATGACTGGTGGTTGAGCCAATTAAGAAAAATCTAAATAAGATAGGTCAAACATTTTAGTGGAATTCATTTACTCTAGACATAAATTGTCTATGAGGTTTTGGACAAATCAGAAAAAATAAATATTGAGTACTATGCTTAGTACATGTGTGATGTAATAATCTGCATACCAAATCCCCATGACATGAGTTTACCTATATAACAAACCTGCACATGTACCCCTGAACCTAAAGTAAACATTCAAAAAATATATATTTTTACTAACTTTCTTATCTCCTGTTTGTTCTCCTGAAAATGTATTTATCTTTCTAGAAAGTCATTTGTTTCCCATAAGTGCCTTTCTCCCTTCACCTACTAAAATGGTATATAAGCCCCAAATTCTAATCACTCCCTTTGAGTTACTCATCACCAAGCTCTCCCACATGTATGTTGCATGAATAAACACTGTAATTTTCTCCTGTTAAAGAAAAAAAGAAACAAATTTTTATTAAATATTTTAAAATGAAAAAATAATGCTGTCTTGATTACTAATTACCATTTAGGCCAACTTGCAGTTACATTTTCTCATATCAAGCGAAGGGTTTATTTGTTCAATTTTAAAATGCTCTAGCTTGTCTAAGCAACTTAAGCTTTTTCTTTGTATCACATGGTACCCATCCGAAATGAATAAAAAGAGAACACAACAAGTTTTACACCTAAAATCTGAGGACTTGTCTTAAATCTTACACTCTTTCCCTAACAAGCTATAAATCAAGCAGTTCAAAACAAGTAAGTGGTTCACTTGAGTTTGTTATGTAGTTTCCTTTAAATAAACGAGCAAGACACATTACTGATGTGTACTAGTACTCTGACCTCTAATTTGAATCTTTTTTCTGGCTTCTAGAGCTTAGCTTACTCTCATAAACCTGAGAGTTCCTTAGGAACTCATAAGTTCCTAACTTCCTGATTATCATCTCATTGTTCTTGCTCTTGACAAGTCCCAGTCTTTATTCTAGGACCTTTTGCCTTTAAAAAAAAAATTTACTCTGAATATCAATAATAAGTTCCTGAATAAAATATTATCAAACAGAGTCCAGGAACACTTTAAAAAGAAAATTATACAATGACCAAATAGTATAGTTTTATTTAAAGAATAAAAGGATCCTTCAAAATTAGGAAATATATTAATATAGAATAACTTGTTATGGACTGAATGTATCTATCTCCTCAAAATTTATATGTGGAAGCCCTAACCCCCTAGTGTAGCTATATTTGCATAAGTAAGTAATTAATGTTCAGAAGGGTGGAGCCCTGATCCAGTAAGATTAGGGTCCTTATAAGAAAAAACACCACAAAGATCTCCCACTTGCAGTCCCTGCACCCTCATGCTGACACCAGGGAAAGATCATGTGTGGACACAGTGAGAAGACAACCAGCCATCTGCAACCCAGGTGGGGAGCCCTCAACAGGAACCAAAACCTGTGGGACCTTGTTCTGAGACTTCTAGACTCCAGAACTGTCCCAGCCCGTGGGATTTTGGTATTTTTTTATGAAAGCCTGAGCAGACTAATATATACATGATATTAATAAATCTATTAAGAAAAATAAACCATCATCTTGATAGTCACTAAAATGGCATTTGAAAAATAATCAACAATTAGTTTTGGCCAAAAATGTTCAATATAACAGGAATCAGTGCAGATACAGCTCCACTAAATTTAGGAAGAAAATGCTAGTCATTTCTGCTAGAGTCAAGTATAAGAGAAAAATAACTGGTATCAATTTTTTATTTGAGATAATTGCTAGCATAAGTACATAAGAAAAAGGAATTAGAAATACAAAAATTGGAAAAGAGAAAATAACAGAATCATTATTTTCAGATGACATAATTACATATCTGGAAATCCCAAGAAAATCCGACTGTATTAGTCCGTTTTCACACTGCTGATAAAGACATACCTGAGCCTGGGTAGTTTATACAGAAAAAGAGGTTTAATGGACTGACAGTTCCACGTGGCAGAGGAAGCCTCAAAATCTTGGCGGAAGGGAAAAGGCATGTCTTACATGGCAGCAGGCAAGAAAGAATGAGTGCTAAGTGAAAGGGGAAACCCCTTATAAAATCATCAGATTTCGTGAGACTTAATCATCACCATGAGAACAATAAGGGGGAAACCGCCCCCCACCATGATTCAATTATCTCCCATGGGGTCCCTTCCACCACACGTGGGAATTACGGGAGCTACAATTCAAAATGAGATTTGGGTGGGGACAAAGCCAAGCCATATCACCAACTGATAGACTATTATAAGTAATAAGGAAATTCAAGGCATTAGCTGAGATATGATATTAATATATAGAAATAAGTAGTTTCCATATATATGAATAAAAATTGTTAGGAGATATAATGGAAGAAAAGACACCATTTGCAATCTCAAAAATAAGACAAAAATAAAATAAGATAGCAGAGACCAAACATAAGAATTGAAAAATGTAAATGGGGAAAGCTTTAAAACAGTCCTGAAACACACACACACAGCCACACACACATAGACAACTAGGACAAATGGAAAGTCTTGGCTGGCAAGATGCAATATCATAAAATGTCTATTCTCTTAAAGTTCATTTAAAAGCTTAATACAATTGATTAAAAGTAAAAATCAACCAATTTAAAAGTTCATATAGAAATACAAACAAGCAAACATAGGAAAACTCTATAAAAACAGAACAGTCAGGCGGATACCTCTAAGTGATGTTGCACACTAAAAATTCAAGAGAAAGGAGCTGGTTGTGTGAATATACAGAAAGACTAAAAGCATTGAATAGAACATCTAAAAAAGACTAATATACGCTGAAGTATTAAATACGTATTTTTAAAAGATGTTCTCTCACATGGATTAGATGTAGACTTATTAATAAATGATGCCAAGACAATGCGAAGGCCATCTAGAGAAAGATATGGATTCTTTCTGTATTTTTTTAATATTTGCATGTGAACCTATACTTACCTCAAAATAAAAAGTTTTTCACCCCTGAGAGGTCTGAAAAAAATTAAAAACTTAAAAAATACTATACAGAGATTTTATTTTCTCTTTTTAATAGGCAAAAAATTCAAAAATAGTAAATCACAGAGGTAAAGACACAGGCGTTTGTTTACATTACAAAATTTTACAGTTTATAAAGAGCAATTTGGCAATATTTAGCAAAATTTCAAAGCATCTTCTCTCTGATCCAACAATCCCACTTCTGGGAATTCGTCCTACAAACATCTCTCTATATTAATATATATAACATAACATATATAAAAAGTATGCATCAGGACATTGTATGTAACAGGAAAAGATTGGAAACACACAAAAATCCATCAGTAGGAATCATTAAATAAACGATGATAAGCTACGATACATGCGTTAGAAAACTATACAGCTGTAAACATACATATACACACAGACAGAGAGAGAGAATGAGGGCACACTTGGTGCATGAATGTCAAAGATCTCTAGTACATATTTGTCTTAGTTATTTCTGGTTGCTATAACAAAATACCATAGACTGGATGGCTTAAACAACAGAAATTTATTTCTCACAGTACTGGAAGCTAGGAAGTCTGAGATCAGGGTACCAACATAGTTAGGTTCTGGTGAGGGCCTACTTCCTGGTTTGCAGATGGTTTGCCTTCCTGCTGTGTCCTCACATGGCAGAGACAGAGAGAGAAAGACAGACAGAGAGAGAGAGAGAGAGAGAGAGAGAGAGAGAGAGAAAGCTCTCTCACGTCTTTTTATAAGGACACTAATCCCCACATGAGGACTCCGCTCCCATGACCTAATGACCTCCCAAAGGCCCCATCTCCAAATACCATCACACTGGGGATTCAGATATGAATTTTGAGGGAATACCAAAAAAATTCAGTCCATAGCAATGTTGTAAGTGAAAAAAACAAAAGCAGGGTTCGAAACGATGTATGCAGTCAGGTATCTTCTGTATAATAAAGAGGGAAAAGTATTGACAAAAATACTTGTACTCACTTGTATTTATAGAAGTAAACACTAAAGGGATAAATCTGAAACTAATCAATGTCATTTTCTGTCAGAGGGCAGAGAGAAATGGGATGAATGAGGATGGGGTGGAAGTAAGAATTATTGATGTATACCTTTTTATGCCACTTTTGTTTTTGAAACATATAAATGTATTAACTCCTTATAAAAATTAATTGAAAAGGAAATTATTGCTTCTAGGTTGCCTTATACTCACCCCTCTGAGCAGCTGAATTATATGGTTGAACCAAGGAGAAGATCTTTTTTAACTTCCACTATCCCATTGATTAATTCTGGATTTCTGCATCGTTTCTCTAGGAGGAAAATTAAAATAATGACTCATGATTCCAATTACTCACAAAATAGAACATTAGGGGAAAAAAAAGTCTGGTTCACTAACTTTAACTCCTGCTTCCAGATAGACCTAGAGATATTTTTCAATGCTTATTTCTTATTCTGACTCGTTAATATTTTGCTTTGAAAAAAAATATATAGACATATATCTCATTTTTCTGACACATTTTAAGAAGAGAAAAAAAAACTTCACTTAGTTTCATTTGCTCAGTTAGACCACTGTGATAATACTGGATGTATTTATTGACCAGTTGTCCATAAAAATGTATGCTCTCGAAAATATATGACCTTCGTCACAGGGAAACAGAAGGAAAAGGGAAGCAGATGCTATATTCTAACTGTTCAAAAAATATGTCCAAGTGTATTCCCAACTGATTTCTTCTAAATACTATAGATGATGTTAATTTTGAACTGTTTTGATAGAAGATTTTCATATGAATTAAGTAATTCATTAAGTTCCTAAAAGAACTTTCTGGGAAAAAAAGTAAAGGTGAGAAAAATAAATGTTGATACTTACTTGCACAAAAGATACTATAGTTCCACGAGTCTTTGGCATCACAAATCAGTCGACTTGAATTGATTTTACCATGCCCAGGGTGGCAGGTGTACTTCAGAGTAGTTCCAGTTTTGAATTCAGTATCATACAACGGATTTATTGGAAAAGCAAATGGTAACTCAGGTGGAGGACCACAGTCACCTGCACACACAAAAAAATGGCAAGGAACATCAACAGTTATATCTTGGGACACAATGTCTCGATGTCCGAGTACTAAGTTTTCTAGAGCAGAGACCATGATTTTCTCTTTTATCATAACTCCTATTGTGTCATTGTTCAATGAGCGCAGTAAGTGATCAATAATACACATTTGTTGAGTAATGATAATGACAACAATAATGAGTAAAGGCAGGAAAAGTTTGTCCATCTTTGACTGTATAAGTGCTAATTTATTAGAAAGTGAATGAATAGACTTAATTTTCATCATTCTATCAGATTGCCCACATCTGTCTGCTCAGAATATAGGTGGCTATGCCATGCCATATGACTCTACCTCCTGCCTTAGCAGAAACATATTTTCTACTAAAAATAGCATTATGCAAGATTAGTTGCCTCAGTCAAGGATGAGGAGGCATTTCATTTATGTCCTTTTGGAACTTTTAGATTTAGAATAAATGGCCTGTTAAAAAATAAAATATTTTTCAAAAGCATTACAAGGTGGAGAATCATTAAACCCTTGAAAAATAAAATCTTAATTCTACTTCCCTGGCAAGAATTAAACAAAGTACTGAGTGACCTTCCAAATGCCCCAGAAGAATTATACCAACCCCTTCTACATTCTAAATAACCACACAGGCAGTGAGAGTTCATGGCCAGGCTGGCAGATAATACGCATTTATTACAAGTCATGATTGTTTCAATGTTAAGTTGTTCAGAGTTTCCTGGAGAGAAAAATTCTAAAAGGGAGCATCAGGACGGTCTATAAAACAAGATTTTCTTTTTTTAGTTTATAGCATGTTTCCCAAATTCCAGGTGGTCAAATATATTCCATAATGTTAAAGATCTCTTAGACACCTCTTAAAATAGGGTGTGTGATGAACTCAGTTGCATGCTGGTCATCTGGCCTGTCTCCCCACTACTTACCAAGAATGGTAGCCAACAAAACAGTGACCAGCATCATTTGGAACAGAGTTGAATTGGAGACTTTCCACAGCCTAGAGACGAGTGAAGCTGCGATTTCTCCTTTTCTATCGAGGGTGGAGCCCTCAAGGAGTGCAAGTGGAGGTCTCTGGGAGTGCATGATCTGATGCCTCTTCAGTGTTTTTCTGCTGAAAGAACTCAACTTAATAAACAGTCATTGAATTCTTACCTGTCATAAAGTACTATGAAGAATAAAATGGGAACTGTTTTCAAGGAGATTATAATCAAATGTAGAAGAAAAGGCATTAACTTTTTGTAATAAAAGATAGCTTGTATTTTCTGTAACAGGAGCATATTCAGGAGACCAGTAAATTCCAGAGATCTGGGGTGAACTGTACAGAGGTAGTAGATATTGCTGTGAAATTTGGAGTGTTAAATGTGGAATATTTTATGGCAATAGTAAAAATTAAGTAAAGGCACAGCAGTGAGAAGGTAAAGGTTATTTCTTGAAAATAGTAATTAGTACTTCAGATTGATTAGAAGATACGGAATTCCTGATAGGAGATGATAGTTAAAGATAGAGAGGCAGGTTAGAACTGGGTTTGATCAGGTTTTCAATACCAAGATTGGGAGCTTGAAACTAGGGAATATACATACACTTTTTTCAAATGACATGATTACTGTGTTTTTGAAAGACTATTATGGCAGATGTATACAAGGTAGATTGAAAGAGGCAGAGAGAAGAGACAGGGAGATTGATTAAGAAGACTATAGCAATTGGCCAAGTGAGCCAAGGAAATTATCTGAACAAGGAAATGGCAGAAGAGTTATAGGAGAAAGAGAAAGCTTAAGAAAAGCAAGAAAATGACAAGACAGAGGAAAACAGTTGGAGATGTCTCTATGAATCATATATCTATCTATATCTATCCATCCATCTATATGATTTTCTTATGGCAACTGTCAACAAAAGCAAAAATCCGTTGGGTCATTCAGAATTTTTTAAGTATGGCTTTTACCAACAACCGCAAACAATAAGTAGTATTACTGTTATGTTTCTTGGTTCCAGTCATTCATTAATCAGAGACTTCTTCAAAGCAAGATCTCTATAAAGTCATTCTTACCCCCTGAATGAGAAAAACCCTCACATATCCTAAGTTTACTTCAGAAACAAGTTACTTAAGAAGTATGACCCAAAGTGATATATAAAATTAACTTGCAGTGAAATATAGGATTTCACCTTTTGTTCTGAAACCTTAGGTAAGTTGAGATGGTTTCATATAGCCATCTGTCCTTAATTATATGAATTGCCAACTCATGTCCATTTAAGTCAATAGGCCAATGATGTGGGGCACTTCCCCTATATTTTCTTCTAGTAGTTTTGTAGTTTGGGGTTTTATATTTAAGTCTGTAATCCATTTTGAGTTGACTTTGTATATAATGAGAGGTAGGGATCTAGTCTCATTCTTCTGTATGCGAATATCCAATTTTCCCAGCACCATTTATTGAAGACTGTCTTTTCTCCAGTATGTGTTCTCACCTGTTTCAAAAATCAGTTGGCTTTTGGTGAGTAAGTTTATTTCTGGGCTCTCTCTTCTGTTCCATTGGTCCATTTGTATATGAAGCTTTTCCATTCAGTATGATGTTAGCTATGAGTTTTTTATATATGTCCTTTATTGTATTGAGGTGCATACCTTCTATACTAATTTGTTGAGAGTTTTTGTCATGAAGGAATGTGAAATTTGTCACATTCTTTTTCTGCACCTATTGAAATGATTGTATCATGTTTCTTTCTTTCTGTTAATGTAGTGTGTCACATTTATTGATCTGAGTATGATAAACCATCCATGGATCCCTGGGATGAATTCCACTTCATCATAATGAATAATTTTTTTAATGTGCTCTTGGATTTGGTTTGCTGGTATCTTGTTATGAATCTTTGCATCGATGCTTATCAGGGGTATCAGCCTATAGTTTTCTTTTTTCTTTGTGTTCTTGTCCAGTTTTAGAATCAAAGTAATGCTAGCTTTGCAAAATGAGTTTGTAAGTATTCCCTCCTCTTCTATTTTTCTGGAATAGTTTGAGAGGAATTGGTATTAGTTCTTTTTTAAATGTTTGGTAGAATTCAGCAACGAAGACATAAGGTCCTAGGCTTTTATTTGATGGAAAACTTTTTATTACTGATTGAATTTTCTCTTCAATTCAACTTTTAATTGGTCTGTTCAGATGTTCTATTTCTTCATAACTTGATCTTGGTAGGTTGTATGTATCCAGGAATTTATCCATGTCTTCTATCTTATCAAATTTGTTGGCATATGGTTGTTTATAATAGTATCTTATAGTACTTTCTATTTCTGTGGTATTAGTAGTAATGTCTCCTTTTTAATCTCTGTTTTATTTATTTCAGTATTCTCTCTTTTTCTCTTAGTCTAGCTAAATGTTTGTCATTTTTGTTTATATTTTCAAAATCCCAACTTCATTTTATTGCTCTTTCAATTTTTTTTTTTTTTTTAGACGGAATCTTGCTCTGTTGCCCAGGCTGGAGTGCAGTGGCACGATCTCCACTCACTGCAAGCTCCACCTCCCAGGTTCACGCCATTCTCCTGCCTCAGCCTCCTGAGTAACTGGGCCTACAGGCACCTGCCACCACGTCCGGCCAATTTTTTGTATTTTTAGTAGAGATGGGGTTTCACTGTGTTAGCCAGAATGGTCTCGATCTCTTGACCTCGTGATCCGCCTGCCTTGGCCTCCCAAAGTGCTGGGATCACAAGCGTGAGTCACCACGCCCGGCCTCTTTTTTTTCATGTCTTTTTCATTTATTTCTGCTCTGAGCTTTATTATTTTCTTCCTTATACCAATTTTAGGTTTAGTTAGTTCTTGTTTGTCTAGTTCCTTGGGGTGTTTATTAGAAATCTCTCTTCTTTTTTATGTAGGTGTTTATTACTATAAATATCCCAATTAGAACTAGTTTTGCTGTGTCCTATAGGTTTGGGTATAATGTATTGTCATTCCCATTTGTCTCAAAAAATCTTTTAGTTTTCCTTTTAATTTCTTTTTGGCCAATTGGTTGTTTAGGGACATGTCATTTAACTTTCATGTATCTGTAAAGTTTCCAAAGTTTTTCTTGTTGTTAATTTCAAGTTTCACATTATTGTGATCAGAAAACCTATTTGATATGATCTCTTCCTTCCTAAATGTTTCAAGACTTGTTCTGTGGCCTAACATCTGATATATCCTAGAGAATGTTCCATGTGCAGTTGAGAATGTGTATTCTGTAGCTGTTGTGTGGAATATTCTGTAAAGGTCAGTTAGATCCATTTGGTCTATGGTGCACTTTAAGTCTGATGTTTCTGGGTTGATTTTTTTTTTCTAAATAATGTGTCCATTGCTGAAAGTGAGATGTTGATGTTGCCTACTATTATTGTATTGCATTCCATCTCTCTCTTTAGGTCTAACAATATCTGGCTTATATATATGGGTGCTCTAGGATTAGGTGCATATGTATTTATAATTCTTATTTACTCTTGTTGATCTTTTTATCTTTATATAATGACCTTTTTACAGTTTTTTTTAACTTCAAGTCTATTATATACAAGTATGGCTACTCCTGTTTGCTTTAGGTTTTTGTTTGCTTGGAATATCTTTTTCCATCCCTTCAATTTGAGTCTATATTTGACTTTAACCATGAAATGAGTCTCTTATAGGTAGCACGTCATTGGATCTTGTAGTTTTCTTCATTTAGCCACTATGTATCTTTCAATATAAAAAATTAACTTATTTACATTCAAGGTTACTGTTGATAGGTAAGGACTCTTGCCATTTTACTAATTGCTTTGGTTGTTATATAGATTCTCTGTTTCTTTCTTCATTTTTTGTTGCTTCCTCTCTTGTTGGTGGTTTTCTGTGGTGTTTAACTTGTTCCCTTTCTCTTTCTTATCTGTGTGCCTGCTGTAATTTCTTTCTTTGTAGTTAACCATGCAGCAAACATAAACAGTCCCATAGTTATATTGACCATTTTTAGCTGATATCAACTTAACTTTGGTTGCATAAAAATACTCTAGACTTTTTCTGCCTTTCTCGCAATTTATATTTTTCTTGCCCTAATTTACTTCTTTATCTATTCTGTGTTCCTTAGCCACTAATTGTAGCTGTTGTCGTTTTGACTATTTTGACTTTAAACATTTATACTAGAGGATTGAGAGATTTACACCGCACCATAACATCACTGGAGTATTCTAAGTGTGATTTGTAAATTTACCTTCCTAGTGAGTTTAGTACTTTCATGAAAACACATGTAGGCTTTCTTCATTCTTTTTTACTAGTATTTATTTATTTTTCCCCTTGACTGGATTATTTCAAAAGATCTAAATTGTATTTTACTGATTGTATAACTTTTAAGCAGCATAGCCAGGATATAAATCTAGATTCTGGAAATTTGTCTATGAAAGTTGAATATGTACATTATACAACCAGCGTGTACACCAAAAGACATGTATAGGAATATTCATAGTTATGTAATCACCAAAGAACTAAAGCCATCTAAATTGTATCCTTAATAAAATGGATACATAAATTATAGTACAGTCACAGAATGGTGTAATATATAGCAATAAAAATGAATAAATAACAACTAGACACAACATAAATCTCACAAATGTAAGCAAAAGAAATCAGTCAAAATATAATATATACTGCATGATCTCATATATAAAAAGAAGTAACAAACACTCAGCTAGATTATTTAGGGATGCATTCTTATTTTATAAAACTATAAATAACAGAAAAAAGGTGATTGCTACAAATCAAGAGAATGATGGCATTTGAAAAGGAGGAATAGGGCAAGATGAGGTAGGAATGAGGAAACAAGTTCTGTAAGAAGAAGTGGTGACAGACTGAGAGGACTGGCATGTTAAGTAAAATCTTTCTGGAATAAATTAGGGATGTATCTTGGAGGGGGAAAGAAACTGAGTAGCTGGATAAAATAGGAAATACTGTACAGTATTGGACCATAGTTTTCTACATGCTGGATCATAACATGTCTATTCATACTATTTTAGTGTTCAAACACTGTTGAAAGATTTGGATTCAGAAGTGGGACTTGGTTAAAACTAAGCACACACCTATATCAGACCCTCTCACAGTTTTGCAATTGAGAAATGAGGGCAGTTATACATTTGCTGATAAAATTTTTCAGTATTTTCTTTTTAACTAAAAAACAAACTTGGGAAGTAGGGGTAAGAATCCCCAGTCTGCTTTGATTCTCATTTTGTCCCTGTTCTATCTTCTGGTACTTCCTCCTCACAGAACTAACTCTGGACAATCCTTGAGGATTGCTTTTAACTATTGATTTCCTGTTTTTAAATAAGTCCATTGGGAGCACTAAATGTCCATAGAGAGTCATATACTTTTTGGTTGCAATGTTTTTTGTTTTTATTTTTGTTTTTGTTTTTGTTTTGGAGATGGAGTCTGGCTCTGTCACCCAGGCTGGAGTGCAGTGGTGATCTCAGCTCACTGCAACCTCTACCTCCCGGGTTCAAGTGATTCTCCTGCCTCAGCCTCCCGAGTAGCTGGGACTACAGGTGCATGCCACCATGCCCAGCTAATTTTTTGTATTTTAGTAGAGACAGGATTTCTCTGTGTTGCCCAGGATAGTCTCGAACTCCTGAGTTCAGGCAATCCACCCGCTTCAGCCTCCCAATAGGCGTAATGTTTTTAAGCATTAGAGTGAGGGTGGAAATAATTAAATGGAAAAATATTTAATTTGAATACAATTTTTTAAATCTCCAATATATCAAACACTATTAAGTAAATGAAAGAATAATAAAATTTTAAGGCCAGGTACAGTGGCTCATGCCTGTAATCTCAACACTTTGGAAAGCCCAACAGGGTGAATCCTGTAAGCCCAGGAGTTCGAGACCAGCCTGGGCAACATAGGGAGATCCTGACCCTGTCTCTACAAAAGTAAAAATAAAAAATATTAGCTGGGCATGGTTGTGCATGCCTGTGGTCTCAGCTACTCAGAAGGCTGAGATAGGAAGATCACTTGCGCCCAGGAGGTCATGGCTGCAGTGAGCCATGATAACACCACCACACTCCAGCCTGGATGACAGAGCGAGACCCTATCTCAAAAAAAAAAATTCAATTAAATAATTAAAGCAGATATAACAATTAAAATTTCATGTCTTAAATATAAAAGCCTTCTTTACAAATCATTTAAAAATAAAATTGTCAAACACATGAGGAAACAACACAAACAAGTAAATCAAAACAGAAGAAATATAAATGTGCATGCAGAGTGGTTTATTGAGGCGTTCTTACAGGAACATTGTCTGTAAAGGAAGAATGAGAAGGAAGACAGAAAAGCAAAACTTTGAAGCAGTTGCATCAGAGACTTCAGAGCATCCTTAAAGTTGGACTGGCCCTTCAAAGGTGTCCAGGATTAAGTAAAGCTGGGCTTTTGTACCACTGCACCAACCAATCAATAAATGTGGGTGTCCCAGAGAAAGACTGCCACCTTGAGTGAGGCAGCTCCCCCAAAATATCTGTGTTTGCTAAAATGCAGATTCCCAATCCCCTAATCAAATATATCTGATGAGGCTTCAATGCCTGAATTATTTTTAAAATGCCTGAAGTTATTCTCATGTTCAGCAAATGCAGGAATCACTAGTCTAACAGAGACGAAATCCATTCATTTTTCTATGTATTCCAGGGTCTATCTTTGATTCAAAACAAAGCTTTAGTAGCTGTACCTGGATATCAGTAGCTTGCTTAACTTCTTGTAAAAGCATCAGTCTTAATTTATGTTTTAATAGATCAACTCAGTTCTTATTAAAGGCTGGTATATTTGGCTATTTGAAAAACAACTTTGCTATTGTCCATGTTATTGGCATTGTCCTAATTATGTTATTCACTGTTTCTTATTAAATGGCCCATGGGATAAATTTTAATTTTCTATTTTAAGTTTTTCTATTTTAATTAGTGAAAATAAGCTCCTCTTTCAGAACTGTTTCTTTTTATCAACTAGTAGGAAATATATAATCATTTTTCCTTGACTGAAAATAAACTCAACAAAATTGCTTATAAGTCTAAATTTTAGTGAATTTGCTGCTACTCTTCCTGTACTTCCTCTTCCATAAGTCTCGCTGTAAGCAATCCTTGAGTATTTTGACTTTGCATTTTTATTTTAGCATCATTAAGTTATACGTGCCGTGCCAGTTATCAGTGCATTTCCTCTCACATCCAAACTAACCGTTTATTACAGCTCTGTGATAATGGATGAAATTCCCTTAAGTATTAATCCTTTACAGTGAGAATGATGTTTAATATTCTCATTAGAGGATGCTTGAGGGACATTGCAGGAAGCAAGGATTCTCCTGCTGTTTCCTGCTGCTACATGATGGGTTAGTAAGATATATGGGGGTGGTCTGCCCCAGGCCCTCTTCCCAGAATGCACTATCCCCTGGCAATCTTGCAGTCGTGGACCAGGCTGGCTATCACCTCCCCGTGGTTCTTCTGACGGATACTTCTCCAAGACTCTTGCCACAACAGCACCCCTACTCCCTCTTCATGCCCTCACACCTGGCCACCTACTTGCCTATGTGCTTTCTCTGCCTTGAAGACTTGCTACTGGGGTCACTTTTCTGCACACCTGCCCATCTGGCCACTATCTGTGGTTCCCCTCACAGATAGCTCATGTTCCAGTGACCCCCAACCCTATCTGCAGGCTTATGCATGTAGCCACCAGCTGGAGCTCACCTATATTCTGCCTCTATTCTGGATATTTGGTTTCTACTTGCCCAATGACCACAGACCAGCTCTTGTCCAGGCAACTAGTGAACTTCTCTGGCATCCAGTGGATTGCTACTATACCTTTTTTAATGAAGTCTAAACCCCAGCCTTGGGAAGGGGCACCTCATTGCAGTTTGTCTCCCTTGAGTACCTTGCCTCAGCCCTAGAATACCATACAGAGTTTTCTTAAATTTTATAATTACTTTTTTATCAGAGTTTAGTAATTCTGTATATTAAATTTCCTCTATTTAAATCATTGTATGGTTTCTGTCTCCTGATTGGACCCAGGCTGAGACTCAGACATTTTGGGATAATCTAAAACTTGTAGTAAGCTTCTACTTGGTATTGAGATAGATGGCATATAAAGTTTCTGAGGGAAAATAATTTTATGGAAATAATTTTTAATTACATAATCTATTCAATGTATTTACATTTTGAATAAAGAGTATTATTTTTTAAATAAAGGAGAATTCACTATATCCCTAAATATGCAAATAGACTTGGTATCAGAAGGTCACTTATTGGTTAAAATTGGCAGAAACAGCACTAGGAAGGGTAATTCCTAAATTCAGAGAAATATTAGAAAATAGCATCCCCCTTTTATAGTGCCCATAAATATAAAATGGTAATGGAATCAAAATAGTCTCTCTTTAGTTATAACTTTTTTAGGGCAGAGCCGAGCCTCTAGCTTTCCAATTGCTTTCTCCCCACAATTATTAAACCTGACATAGAAAGAATTCACTTCGTTTTAATTTATTTTCTTGTGGTCAAAGAAGAATATTTGGCAGCAGGGGTTTCGTAGTTGACTTTTCTCAGGCTCAACTAAACTTTAGCACCAGATTCACATTCCAAATAACCTATACATTTTTTACTCCTGGTGTAATTATTCAGCACCACTGTGGGTGAACTTCTGAAGGAAATATATGAACTAGTTAGTCATAGTGTAAAGAAAAACATTTAACTTAAAGCAAGGAGACAAACGCAACTGCTGTGTCTTTTAGGGATAGGAGCAATCATTTCAGGAAAGAAAGTTCTCTCGATGTTGATAGTGCAAAAGTAATGTGGTGATGGAAATAGACTGAGGAATAGAGGGGGAAACAGAATTTTAAAAAGTACAGAAGCAGTAATTGCCTCATCTTGCACAGGAGAAATTTAAGTTGTAAACTCAAGTTGTAAACAGGCAAAAAAAACCACAGAAGTTCCTTCTCTGGAGCAACTGGACAGCAACAAAGAAGACACCTATAAACATCAGTATTTGGATATTCATTGTCCTATACTTGTCATGAGATAGGACAACCAAAAACTCAATGGCTCAGAGCAGGTAGAACTTTATTTTTCTTTCAAAAACAGTTCGGAGGCAAAAACCCAGTCAGGATGGAAGGCAGTACTGCTCAACATGGTCAACTAGGGACTAGGGCCTTTTCTCCTTGTTGCTTTAATATCCCCTAGGATGCTGTCCTTCTCAAAAAGGCAGAAGCTGGCTCTCAGGCACCCTATCAGCATTTCAGCCCTCAAGAGTATGGAAGAGGAAGAGGAGAGCAAGAAGCTTCCTTTTTAAGAAGGTGACAAGCATGTTGCATTTATTGGGAGGTTGCTCCAAGGGAGGGACTAGTTGAGCAACACTGTGCCCTGCTGAAATGGTAGAAGTGGTTCTATTACTTAAAGTGAAAATAGAGGTTAATACAGGGAAACAATTAACACTCTCTGTTATAGCCACAAGTTAATTTAAAATGCCTCACTGTCCCATCAGGCTGCAAGTAAGCCTGCTGCCAGCAAAATTTGTTCACATACACAGAACTTTAAATGAGATTATTTAGGCCTTACTCTTAAAGAACAACTGCTGACCAATGATCATTAACAGAGGTTTGCAGGGAGCAAAATCATACTTCTCTATTGCAAAATAGCTCCATAGAGACAATAATGAATCTAGGTGGAAAGAACAGGATTACTATTTTTTTAAAAACAGAAAACAATTTTTAAAAATTCTTTGAAAAATGTTAGCAAGTGTTCTTAAAAGAAATTGAAAAATTCAGAAAAAAAATGAAGTCAAGGAAATCTCCAAAAAAATGTTTGGAGAATTGAAGGTAAGAATGAGGGCAGAAAACATAACTAAATCCAATAATTAACAAGGAGGTCCAATATCAAATGATTTTGGTTTCCATGAAAAGAGAAAACAGTGAAGAAATGTTACTGAAAACATTTTCTAAGAAAATTTCTCAGAATAATAAGAACATGAGTTTATAGTGTGAAAGAGCCCATCAAGAATTAGCATAATAAATAAAAATAAATCATACAGTAAAGTATACCAACATGATATTTTAGAACACCATGAGTAAAGATTGTATCCTAAAAGCTTCCAGCGTTGAGGAAAAGTCAGGTCAGAAATCAGGATGTCTTTTGACTTCTCAATAGCTGTATGGAATATATTAAAACAGTAGACAAATTCCTTTAAAATGAGAGGAAAAATTACACTTTACCCACCCTACTACACCCAGCCAAACTATCAATCAAGTGTGAAAATAATGACAGTTTCAAGAATATAGGAGTTCACTCAATAGCTTACTTCCTATACATCATTTCTTAGGAAGTTCCTGGAGGATGTGCTCCAATAAAATGAGGAAATAAGAAAGAGAACATGAGTCAACAAAGTAAAGACAGGGCAGGAAGGCGAGTCTACAGATATGAGAACATCCATTGCTTGTTGTAGTGTGTAGCAGCCCCTGTCAATGTCCTGTCAGTATCACCAGCGCCCTGCCACTTTAGCACACTCTAAACAACTTCCAACTGCCTATATCTGTTTCCTTTTACCCAGGCTTTTTCCACAACCATCGAAGGCTACTCTGATTTGCAATTAGCAGGATAAACTGAAGATAACACCTTGCAGAAGCAGATCTCAATTAACAACTGATGGAAGTATGTATAAATATCCCAGCTCCCTACCCTTAGCTATGATTACTCTGAGGTGCGAGTTCACCATCTTTATCAGTGTCCCTTGGGATGAGGCTGTGGTCATCCTAACTAGCTTGCTAACATATCCTTTTTGGTTGACTTTCCTTCCATATCTCACTGCCTTTCTCTCCTGGTGTTTCCTGCACCTCCTAAACAAATTACCTACATTTTAATTCTTGTTTCAAGGTCTGTTTCTAGGACTTTGGGAGAAAGACACACAAGAATAAGAAAGGAATTGATAAAGCATATGATATCTCAACATTTGGAATAGATTTGGTAGACTGAAAAATCTCTTGGTGCATTTAGGAGGAAATGTAAATAGAAATATAGAAAACAAAACAAGCAAGCAAACAAACATTACTGGAAAAGGACATTATAGACAACGTATTAAAACAAAAGCAATGAAACATACTCACAAAACGCTATTTGGTATACTGCATAGTCATAACATGTAAAAGTTATTATTGATGTAACCAAAATTATGCAATAATTATATTGAAACAAAAAGAAAAAGCAGGTGATATATTAGAAGATGATTAAATATATATATCTGTAATCAATAGATAACAGCTAAAATGAATAATTTAAGAAAAATAGAAAAAACATTGCCTTAAAATATGAACATAAATATCAGGAAAAAAATGTTGCAAGATATGACAGTGGTTCTCTGGGAGTAGGGAAAGGGAACTGTGTGCACCAGATAATATGCTAATTTGTTAAACGTGAATGTATCTTAATTTTAAAGATAAATAAAGTTGATAGGTCAAGAAATAGATGCGTTTCTAACATGGTTTATAATTTATAGAATTATGTACAAAGTTAAAATCTTAAATGTGAAATTTAAATTTAAAATGGAAAGAGAAAAATGGGTAATATAATGGAGGTAAGCTCTCTATACCTACCTTTATTGTTTTAATATTTGTTAGAATATATATGTATTTATTTTAAATAACTTTTAAAAGGGATTTAAATAAAAGGATAAATTAAAGAATGGAAGGATAATTTAAATCTATGTGAAAATAAGTCAAAACTACTCCTTTATATTAGTAAAGAATGGTAAGAAAGGAAAAATAAAGGGCTAATATTTAAAAACCTCAACTGTTTTTTCTGTACTCTTAAAGACTGAGACTTGGGGTGGATCTTTGTTTAAGCATGTTAATAACATGAAAATATACACATACATAATTACCCATTCTTATCCACTCATAAAATGGTGTGGAAAGTGACTTTCTGGATAGTGGAAATTTTAATTTTATTTATGAAATTAGTTCATTTATGGTTGGTGGAATAGAAGATCCTCAGCACCACTCCTCCCCACAAAAGTACAGCTAGTAACTATTCAAAGACAAGAACACCACCTTGAATTCACCAGAACCTGAGAGAGAAGAGGAGAAAGCCCCTACAACAAAACCACAACTGGTAACAGAAATGGCCATTTTAGACTGTGCCACCCTCTCCCCTAAGCTGGCATAACCGCCACTCACAGAGAACTTCCCTGGACCCACAGTTTCCAAGATGGAAGGAGGGAACTGGAAGTGGACATTCTATCTCCCCACTGGTCTGGGAATTTTCATGGGAAGCCCATGGCAGTCCTGTCCCACAGGAAGCACTGGGAATGCCAGGAGGACTGAACCACCTGGGGTGAATTGAAGACAAGTGGGGGGAAAAGGTGCTTATCACGGGGAATGGCATGTGGATCTTGGTGGCTACTCTGCATTTAAATCAGCTGGGCATCACACAGAGGAGACTGGATAGTGCCATAGTGCTTCATGGGACACAACCCATGGGAAGGCCTGAGTCCCTGGTCAGATTTCCCACACGGCCCGGATGCTTACATGGAACTTTCCCCTGACCTGGAAGCAACTGAAAGGTCAGTGATGAAGTTCTGGTGCTCTCTTAAGTCTTCCCCAGACCTGGAAACCACTGCAGGTCTGTGTTTAAGTTCCTGTGCGAGCTATAAGTTCTGGTACTCACAATAAGTCTTCCCCAGATTGGGAAAAAATGAAAGGGTGGTGATTTAGTTCCAGGGAAGTGTTTAAGTTCTGGTGCTCAATATAAATCCTTTCCAGAATGGGAAGCAACTACAGGCCAGCAAATAAAGTTCTAATGTTAAGTAATAAAAGTCTAACATCACCAAAGAACACCTGCAAAAGTTGGAAGAGGTGGCCATCTCTTCGAATGAACAGGCATCAATGTAAAGACACAAGACTGAAAAAAAATCAGGGAAAAAAACCAACAAAGCTCTGGTAATAGACCCTGAAGAATTAAAGATCTGTGAGCTGCCTGAGAAATAATTAATAATAACCCTCTTTTAAAAATTCAGGAAATCACAAAAAATATCAATAGAAAATTAAATAAAATTTATAAAACAATCCAGAAACAAAATAAGAAATTTGACAAAGAAATAAGAACAATTTTTATTTGATGTTTGTTTTTTAGAGATGGAGGGCTCACTTTTTCACCCAGCTTGGAGTGCAGTGGTATGATCATAGCTCAATGCCATCTTGAATTTCTGGTCTCAAGTGATCCTTCAGCCTCAGCCTCCCAAGTGACTGCTACAGGCACAAGCCAGAATGCCTGGCTAATTTTTAATTTTTTTGTGGAGACAGGGTCTCCCTATATTGCTCAGGCTGGTCTCAAACTCCTGGGCTCAAGCCATCCTCTCCCTTTGTCCTCTCAAAGCACTGGGATTACAGGCATAAGCCACCATGCCCAGCCTAGGAACAACTTTTAAAAACCAAATCAAAATTCTAGAAATAAAGAATGCAATAACTGAACTGAAAAACCCAACAGAAAACTTCAGCAGCAGACCTGATCAAACAAAGGAAAGAATCAGCAAGCCTGGGCCCTAACACAGTGCCTTATGCCTATAATCCCAGCACTTTGGGAGGCCAAGGTAAGAGGATTGCTTGAGACCAGGAGTTTGAGACCAACCTGGGCAATATAATAAGACTCCTTGTCTCTTAAAAAAGTCAGGCATGGTAGTGCATGCCTGTAGTCCTAGCTCCTCAGGAGGCTGAGATGGGAGAGTGGTTTAAGCTCTGGGGTTCAAGGTTACGGTGACCTATGGTTGCACCATTGCACTCTAGCCTGAGTGACAGGAAAAAAAAAAAAAAAGATTCAGCAAGCTCAAAGACAAAACATATGAAATTAACCAATCAGAGGGCAAAAAGGAAAAAGAATAAAATGCAGTGAAAAAGGCCTATGAGAATTATGAGACTCTATCAAACAAACCTCTGCATAATAGGAGATTGCAAGGAGACAAGAGACAAAAAAGGCCTAGAAAGAATATTTAAGAAAATAATGGTTGAAAATCCCCATATCTGGAGAAAGATTGTAGAATTCAGGTACATGGAGCTCAGAGCTCATCTATGAATGGAGCTCAGAGGTCACCAATCCACTTCAACCCAAAGAGGAATTCTTCCCCAAGGTACAGCATAATGAAATTATCAAATGTCAGACCTAGAAAGAATACTGAAAACAGCAAGAGAAAAGAAATATGTCACATTAAACAGAGCCCCAATACAACTTTCAGATTTCTCAGCAGAAACTCTGCAGGCCAAGAGAGAGTGGAAGGATATATTCAAAGTACTAAAGAAAAAAGTCCAACACAAATATTAGTACCCAGCAAAGCTAACTTCAAATATGAATGAGAGATAAAGACTTACCTGGACAAACAAAATTTGAGGGAATTCATCAAGACCAGATTTGTTTTAAGAGAAATGTTAAAGAGAACTCTTCAGTCTGAAAGAAAAGAACACTAACGTATTAGAAGAAAACATCTGGAGGTATAAAACATATTGGTAAAAGTAAGTTTACAGACAAATTTAGAATAATATAACTGTAGAAACTCAACCACTTATATCTTTAGCATGAAGACTATGAAACAAACTATTACAGATAATAACTGCAACAATAGAGACAGGCAATATAAAAAGATGGAAATAGAGACATCAAAATCTGGGAAGGAGTGATATTAAAGAAGAGTTTGTTTTTGCTATCATTCTTTTCTTTGTGATCGACGTTAAATTGTCAGTTTAAAATAACCTGTTATGACTATAAAATTTTTTATAAACCTTAGGGAAACCACAACACAAAAACTTATAGTAGATACATTAAAAAATAAATGTCAACCACTGTGGAAGATAGTGTGGTGATTCCTCAAAGACCTAGAACCAGAAATACCATTTGACACAACCATCTCATTACTGAGTATATACCCAGAGGAATATAAATCATTCTGTTATAAAAATACATGCATGTGTATGTTCATTGCAGCACTACTTACAATAGCAAAGACATGGAATCAACCCAAATGCCCATCGATGATAGACTGGATAAATAAAATGTGGTACATATACACCATGGAATACTATGCAACCATAATAAGGAATGAGATCATGTCCTTTGCAGGGACATGGATGGAGCTGGAAGCCATTATCCTCAGCAAACCAACACAGGAACAGAAAACCAAACACCACATGTTCTCACTTATAAGTGGGAGCTACACAATGAGAACACATACACATGGACACAGGGAGGGGAACAACACACGCTGGGGCCTGTTAGGCGGCAGGGGGAGGGAGAGCACCAGGATAAATAGCTAATGCATACAGGGCTTAATATCTAGGTGATGGGTCAGAAACCTGCAGGGGCTCCAGCAACAAAAAAGAAGCAGCAACAGAAAAAGAAGAAAGGTGGAAAAGGTGGTTGGTGATGAGAATATTCTTGTTGCAGGCTGTTTTTAAACTAGTCTCAGTGACACTAAGAATATAATAAAGGTAACACAGCAAGAAACACAGAACTGCTCCCTCTTCATCTCCGTATTTTCATAATTTCTTGTGTTTCAAATGGGGAAACATCTTCCTCAAAGGCTGCCTAGTGAGATATGGCCTACTGGTTGCCTCATAACTTTGTACAGATTATGAGGACTGAAAATAATTGGGCATTTACCCATCTTGGTATCTGTTGTATCCTTTATCTGTGTGTGCTGATTCGATCTTTTTTCAGTTTCACATACCTTATCTAAGGTTTCCCAGGATTTAAACAGAAACTATTTCTACGATTTCAGCTAGAGTCAGAAGATACTTGTTTCTGTTCAAGTCTCACTTTAAATTATGTCTTAGGAGGCCTTAGGCAACTGAAAGTGGAATCTTCTGAGCATTCCTAAATATCTGCTTAGAAATATCATGTGATAAAGAGGGACCTTCTTAATACACTGATGTTCTTCACTTAATTAAATGGATGGCCACAAGAAAAATAAAGTAAATGTCTTAAATAATTTAACCATAAATTTTTTGTCATGTGATACTGGAATATGGGATACTTTTCATATATATATATAATTTCAGATATATATATAGCTCCTTTGTGCCCCATATCATTTTCAGATTATAGTAACATGCTGATACAGCACCATGAAAGAACTCAAGGAAAATATATCAATGTAAGAAGTTGACTCTTAGACCTAGTGTTCTGAGGTCAGATGGGTTTGGACTGCCTCAATCAGAAAGATTAAGGACTATTATCAAGAACATGAACATTGGCTTCCTACATAGAGAGGAAATCAGTATCTGAGTTCCATACCAGGCAATATTAAAATCTAACAGGTCTGTTTGGCCCATTGATAGATACTCAAATGGTATCTCCTTCTGGTTATGGATTTTGACCATTGATTACCTTTCTCAATGTAATGAAGTATTTTACAGTCAATTTGTGATGTAAATGTTGCTCTTGTCTTTCCTCACTTACAAATTACTTTGACATTGAACAGCTGTGAGACAGACATATTGAGATGCCTGCCGTTGTTATTATTCATTTTATGCTGTCCAAGATATCATTTAATTTAGACTTACAAGTATTTCCTTGTGATTATATTACTCTGTCCTTGTTAATAAAGTGCTGCTGTGTTTGACTCTGAACGTAACTATCAAAACTTCTTCAAAGAGTTTTTTATAAAAGACTTCCCTCCTTTACAAGAAAGAAATGGGGTGCTGCCTTTCTGTTTAGTAAAAGCAGAATCTGCAGTGGCATCTAAACAAGAGATCCTTTTTAAATACAAATGATGTATTGTGGCATAATACTTTTTTGAGCTCTACAGAGAACAGTCTTTTGGTAATAGTGGCAGATATTTATTCCTTCTGAATATATACCCCATTATAGGAATAACTGTTACTTATTTAGGATTCCATCATTGAAAATTTTGACCCAAGGCACAGCAGTGAAATTTACAGTTCTCAATTTAGTTGTCATTATTGACAGGCATTGGTATTATTAGTCATTGCTAAGCAACTGAAACTTCAGTTCAAATAAGTAAGTTTTAATTGTCAAATGAAGTATAAACACATGAACTTTCTAGAAATATTTCCTCTTTTGGATAGGTCTTTAGCCAGTACATATATATACTTTGTCGAATATATGGATGTGCGTGTGTACATTTATAAAAACCAGTATGGATACATCCATTCACTGTGGTACATTTTAAAATAAAATATTTTAGCAGTGAAAAAAAAATACCTAGGTGATGGGTTGATAGGTGCAGCAAACCACCATGGCACACATTTACATGTGTAACAAACTTGCATGTCCTGCACATGTAACCCAGAACTTAAAATAAAATAAAATTTAAAAATAAATTAAAAATAAATAAATAGCATGAAATCAAAAGATACTACTAGAGACAAAGACTTAACTATGAAGGAAAAGAGTAAGGGAGGAACAAAGAAAGACTCAAAAAAAAAAAAAACAAAATAAGCAACAAAATGATAATAGTACATCTTTAGCTATCAGTTATAATCTTGAGTGTAAATGGGTTAAATTATCCTATTAAAAGACATAGAGTGGCAGAATGGATTTTAAAAAACAAGACTCAGCTATATGCTGTCCTCAAGAAGCTCATTTCACCTATAAAGACATGCATACACTAAAGGTGAAAGGATGAAGAAAGTAACCAATGCGAAACAACCCAAAAAAAGCAGGAGTAGATATGCTTAGATAAAATAGACTTCAAATCAAAAACGATTTTTTAAAAGAAGATTATTTTGTAATAAATGTAATGATAAAGAAGTCAATATGGCAAGGGGATATGACAATTGTGTTTGTGTATGTATGTGTGTATGTATATATCCTCCACACCAGAGCACCTAAATATATAAAGCAAATATTAATAGACTTAAAGAGAGAGATTGACTGCAATAGAATAACACTAGAAGATTTGAACACCCCACTTTCAGCAATAAACAGATAATCCATACAGTAAATTGACAAACAAACTTCGGAGTTACACTACACACTATACCAAATGGAACAAATTGATATTTATGGAACATTTCATCTAACAGCTGCAGAAACACATTTTCTCATTACCACATGAAATATTCTCCAGGATTATGTTAGGCCATAAAACAAGTCACGGCAAATTTTTAGAAATCAAAATTATACCAAGTACCTAAAAACAAAAAAGGCCATTAAGTCACAAACCCATAGCTAATACCATACTAAATGGGGAAAAGTTGAAAGCCTTTCTTCTAAGATCTAGAACAAAACAAAGATGCCAAGTTTCACCACTTTTATTCAACATAGTACTGGAAATCCTAGTCTGAGCAATTAGACAAGCAAAAGGCGATAAAAGGGCATTCAGATTGGAAAGGAAGAAGTCAAAATGTCCCTGTTGGTAGATGACACTATCTTATATTTAGAAAAACATAAAGACTCCATAAAAAACTGTTAGAATTGATAAATGAATTCAGTAAAGTTGCAAGATTCAACATTAATACAAAAAAGTTAGTGATATTTCTGTAAGCCAGTAGAGACTGTCTGATGCCATTGTGCTTAGTCAACAGATGGAACCATACAGAAAAGGCAGCTGTAGAAGAGTTCATCTGTATCCTGGCCATATGGCCTTGACCTACTCTAGAGGTTAGTGCAAATGGTCCCATAGGTGTCATTGGCTACCCATGTCTCTCTGACTGATGGTGAGCCCCATCCTTGGAGCCTGCTCAGCCAGCCAACAGTGTAGATCCCTTGGGTCTGGGAGCCATTGCTACTGGAGCAAAACTTCACCAGTGAGAGAAGAGAATAGGCAGAAAAATACCCAGGTCTTTTTCCTGAGGAGGACAACTCAGAGTTGGGTTCTACATGCTCTCAGATGCTTCCAGCATGATTGAGTCCCAGTTGGCAATGAAATAACCCCCTCAACAATGTTCCCTAATGGGCTTTCTTCCCTTCTCCATCTTACTGCCCACTCACTTACAGTGTTTTCTGGAACCACCTTTCAGGGAAACTAGTTGCTCACAAATTCTTGTATCAGGGGAAATTCAAAAATAAACATTAAACCAAGAAATGCCTAGTAGCCTAGTAGGTAATGGCTTTTAAGATCATGGATAGATACGTTTGATGTTAAGTGGATGTCTTAGTCTATTTTCTGTTGCTTATAACAGAATACCTGAAACTGGGTAATTTATAAACAAAAAAAATTATTTTTTACAATTCTCAAGGCTGGGAAATCCAAGGCCACGGCTCAGCATCTGGTGAGGACCTTCTTGGTGGGGACTTTGCAGGGGCCCAAGGTGGCACAGGGCATTACATGGCAAGGGGGCTGAGCATACTAACTCAGGTCTCTCTTCCTCTTCTTATAAAGCCACCAGTCCCACTTCTGTGATAACAGCTGCGAAAACACATTCTTCTCATTAGCACACAAAATATTCATCTATGAATGGTTTAATCCATTCATCAGGACAGAACCCCCATGAACCAGTCACCTCTTAAAAACCCCACCTTTCAATAGTTCCACATTGGGGATTTACTTTCAACATGAGTTTGGAGGGTACAAACACTCAAACTATAGCAGTGGGTTTCTCCAACAGCACCACCTCCTCTGTTACATCTAAAGTTCAGTGAAAGCCTGCCATAATGCCATTTCCTTCACATAATTTTGGGAAAATTAAGCCAAAAAGGCCAATGTTCAAAAGGCCAGAGTTCTGTGTGCAGGGAGAGAAAAGACAGCCAGAGGAGCTGAGATAAGAGTGAGAAAGAGACTGCACAGGAAGCAAGAGTCAGAAAAAGTGATGACTTAAAGGAATAAAAGTTCCTAGAGTACCCAGAAATATAAGGAAGTTTGATATGGGATATCTCTTCCTGTGTGGGGCAGTTGCTCAACCTGTTTTAACTTAATATTAAGGAAAATGGTGACCAAATCAGATAGAAGAATTGAGAATATGCAGAGGACTGACATGTGGGCTTCATCTTCATCTGTCTTTCGAAGTTCCTTCTCTGGGGTTGGAATGAGGAAGTCAGACACAAAAGCAAACTTCCTTCATGGAAGGCAATAGTGGAGATGTGGCATGAGTCAAAGAGACAACGTGCACAGGGGCTCAGGGGAAGGCGTGACTCCCCCAGAGCGGGAGAATGGGGGAGGCTTTGAGGGTGTGTTGACATTTAACCTCACCAGGGAGGACATGAGTGCTGTGCACACATGAAACTGTGGAGTAAAGGCAGTCTGTCCACGATAAGAACCCAAGTATGGCCAGGCATGGTGGCTCACACCGGTAATCCCAGCACTTTGGGAGGCCAAGGTGGGCAGATCACTTGAGGTCAGGAGTTCGAGACCAACCTGGCCAAAGTGGTGAAACCCCGTCTCTACTAAAAATACAAAAATTAGCTGGGCATGATGGCACACACCTGTAATCCCAGCTACTCAGGAGGCTAAGGCAGGAGAATTGTGTGAACCTGGGAGGTGGAGGTTGCAGTGAGCCAAGATTGTGCCACTGCAGTCCAACCTGGGCAACGGAGTGAGAGTCTGTCTCAAAAAAAAAAAAAAAAAAAAGAAAACCCAAGTACCTATTATTTGTGGCCCAAACAGTAAAACAAATGTATTAATGTATTAACTTTATATTATGGGTTTTTTAAGGACGCTTATTTCACAGAGTCCTAAATGACCACAAAGACAAAATAGTTTTTTATACATACATTTTTAATCGAAAAAAAATTTGTGCTTTGTGTGTTGAAAAGCAAAAACATGAGCCACACAGAGGATGATTAATAATTTCACAATCTCAAAGCACTAAACTTTAGCAAATTATCATTTCTAGATATTTATTATGATGAATATCACTGCCAAATTGACAGTAGATTTGCTAAACTGATCTGTATTGAATTGCAAGAGGCAAGCCAGCAAGACACCTTTTCCTCCTTCTTTTGAGAAAAATTATAGTTCTTTATCCAAAGTGGATTGTCTTGCGCTGTCTCTCTGTAGTTCCAGTTGTTCAATTTCCAGAGACAGCTTATATACCTCCAGGGCCATTTTCACATCCTCTGGGTTTGGGAGACACTGCATGAGTCTTTTGCCTGTGAGCACTTGTTCACAGCCTTCGGGGGTCTCCTAAAAGATATAAGTGGTGGGTGTGATTGAGAAGCTTCTCTTCTAATCATAAAGGAGGGTGGATCCTGACAGTGGAAGGACTACAGGATTGAACCAAGACCAACCTCAGACTGGTGGTTGAGGCTGGGAAAACAAGAAATCACTTGGGTCCCACCACAGTCTTCCCCAGGGGAACATGGATCTGTTCTGAGACAGCTGTCCAGAAGGCCCCCATGGTAACAGAGGCTGTTTTTGCTGACCATCCAGAAATGGAACAACAATATATTATATAGCTTAGCAAAAGTTAGGCTAGAAATCAGTACTACTGGGTCTATGAAACCCTGCTCTGTAAGGGCTCAGTTTTTCCTGTTCTCAAGTGAGAACAGGAGAACTTGCCACCCCTAACTTACCAGAATGCTTCAAGACAAAAAGAGTTTCTTTGAGTGGGAGTGGCTCAGAAATGAATCCTGACAAGTCAGATTTCACCATTGTTGAGTGGTACAGAGCTCTGGGGGATGCCACCATTTTTAGGGGTCGACAGCACAGAACTTCCTTGAATTGTGCCACTTACCCACTCACACTTGGGCACCTCTGGGTACCAGGTTCTGTTCCCAGAGCAAGTGATACTTTGGGGACCAACCACACCATAGCCAGAATCACATTGGATGGTGACATTTTCAGGCTCAACATACTGATCCTTATCCACAGACAACCTTCCATTCACTAATTCTGGTTTCCGACACAGAGCTGTAATGGAAACATATTTTTAAGAAATCTGTAAATCTATGAAGAAGGACATGATAACAGTCTCGGATAATAAGAATGAACTGTATTTAGTTCTGCTAATTGTTCTATCTTTCTCTTCATTTGAAAACATTCATATTAGCATTTTATTGAGTATGACTACCTATCAGACTTCTGCTAGGCACTTTATGTTGCTATCATTTAAGTCTCCTGGCAGCCCTATGAAATGAGCACTGTTATTATTCCCATTTTATCTAAGAGACAGCTGAGATACATTAAGACACTTGCTCAAAGTAATAACATTTTCATATAATATGACAACATATTTCTTTTTTTATTATACTTTAAGTTCTGGGATACATGTGCAGAATCTACAGGTTTGTTACATAGGTATGCATGTGCCATGGTGGTTTACTGCACCCATCAACCCATCATCTACATTAGGTATTTCTCCTAATGCTATCCCTCCCCTTGCCCCCCACCCCCTGACAGGCCCCAGTGTGTGATGTTCCCCTCCCTGTGTCCATGTGTTCTCATTTTTCAGCTCCCACCTATGAGTGAGAACATGTGGTGTTTGGTTTTCTGTTCCTGCATTAGTTTGCTGAGAATAATGGTTTCCAGCTTCATCCATGTCCCTGAAAAGGACATGAACTCATTCTTTTTTATGGCTGCACAGTATTCCATGGTGTATATGTGCCACATTTTCTTTATCCAGTCTATCATTGATGGGCATTTGGGTTGGTCTCAAGTCTTTGCTACTGTGAATAGTGCTGCAATAAACATACATGTGCATGTGTCTTTATAGTAGAATGATTTATAATCCTTTGCATATATACCCAGTAATGGGATTGCTGGGTCAAATCGTATTTTAGTTCTAGATCCTTGAGGAATCGCCACACTGTCTTCCACAATGGTTGAACTAATTTACACTCCCACCAACAGTGTAAAAGTGTTCCTATTTCTCCACATCCTCTCCAGCATGTTGTTTCCATGACAGGATATTTCTAAAAGAAGGTATGTGACCCCAGAATCCCAACTAACGAGGTAACTGTCACTCACAGTTTTGATTGCTGCAAGATTCTAAGTATAAAAATTTCCTTCTTGCAGACATTTATGCAGCCAACAGACCTATGAAAAAATACTCATCATCACTGGTCATTAGAGAAATGCAAATCAAAACCACAATGAGATAACATCTCACACCAGTTAGGATGGTGATCATTAAAAAGTCAGGAAACAACAGATGCTGGAGAGGTTGTGGAAAAATAGGAATGCTTTTACACTGTTGGTGGAGTGTAAATTAGTTCAACCATTGTGGAAAACAGTGTGGCAATTTCTCAAGGATCTAGAACTAGAATTACCATTTGACCCAGCAATCCCATTACTGGGCATATACCCAAAGGATTATAAATCATTCTATGATAAAGACACATGCACACGTATGTTTATTGCAGCACTATTCACAATAGCAAAGACTTGGAACCAACCCAAATGTCCATCAATGATAGACTGGATTAAGAAACTGTGGCACATATACACCATGGAATACTATGCAGCCACAAAAAAGAATGAGTTCATGTCCTTTGCAGGGACATGGATGAAGCTGGAAACCATCATTCTCAGCAAGCTATCACAAGATCAGAAAACCAAACACTGCATGTTCTCACTCATAAGTGGGAGTTGAACAATGAGAACACATGGACACAGGGAGGGGAACATCACACACTGGGGCCTGTCGGGGGGTGGGGGGCAAGGGGAGAGATAACATTAGGAGAAATACCTAATGTAGGTGACAGGTTGATGGGTGCAGCAAACCACCAGGGCACATGTATACTTTTGTAACAAAACTGCATGTTCTGTACATGTCATCCAGAACTTAAAGTATAATAAAAAAAATTTCCTTCTTGACTATTATTCTCCTGTGTACAAAAGAAACAATGATGGCAAATAAATACTGAAGTTTTTGACAGCAAAGTCATGCATGTTGACAGCAAACTTCTATTCATGTAAAAATCAGACCTGATCTCAACTCCTCCTGTCCCCACAACTGCTGCAAACTACGAGTCCCCCTTCACCCTCCCTGACCCCTCACACCAACACACACCATCTATATCATAGCAGGTGGTGCATGCCCTGCACGAGACTCTGGTGGAAATAACTGTCACTCATGATATTTAGAATTCACTCAGGGGAGCCTATATTCATACTAGAGCAAGTTTCTATGGAAACTTTGCCACAGGCCACAGGTACACTAAGATAAAATGTGATACTTTTAGAATATTTCTGGAAATATACAAGAAACCTGGTATGGGCTGCCCCAAGAAGGCTGAATTTTGTGATTGGGAGAAAGAAATGGAGGAGATTAATGTTTGTGTGTGCCCTTTGTAGTTTTTGCATTGGGTACCATTTGCATATATTGATTATTTAATATAAATCAAATCAAATGTTTTCATGCTGCCTCTGACAGGGAAGAAACTTAGCTCTCAGTGCTCTCAGGACACGTCCACCCACTTAATCTTGAGCTGAAAAGGAAGCTGGAGTTACCTTTACATTGAGGGGCTGGAGCTGACCAGTGTGAATAACTGCAGGAGAGTTTCGCCTGTCCGACCAGAATGTAGCCTTTATCACATTCATATATAATCTCTTCTTTGAAAAAGCTGTATGAACTAGATTGTTTATAATGCCCATGGGCAATTTTAGGAGGAAAATTGCAAACTTGAGGGAGAGACAAAAAAGTGAGAGAGCATTAGTTTGTAAAGTGTATAAAGTAGCACATTGCAGAATACATGTAGTTTGTAGGAGGCTTCATTCTGTCCTTCTATCCTCGCTGCCTGTAAGAGCACGTAGCCAAACCCAGACACTTCTGCTCTCCTCCTGTAAGCCTCAAGCTGGGCAACCATAGAAAGGCTCGAGATATAGCCCTTAGGTTTTCCTTCATCTTATTGACAAGTTCACTCAACTTTCCATTGTTTAGGAGCCATTTTGGCATGAAGGTTGAATTCAGCCTTAGGTCATATCATACTCATAGTACACTTAGTCACTTTCAGGCTAAATGCAGAGATTTGCATCTGTGAGAAACTGTAAGGATGTTATATCATCCACAATCTCTGAGTCATTGCTCCCCAATCAGTACTGTCCATCCATGCCCAAGAAGAAAATATTGCATTTTAAAAAACTATAGAAAAGAGCTCATTGGATAAATGAATATGGTGACTTGAACATTGAAATAGTCAAGAGGACATGGTGCAGAGCACCTCTCTGAAAGGGAACACTATCAGGTCCACAAACACTGCATGAGAAAGTTAAAAAAAAAAAAAAAAGCAGAGCAGCAGGAATGTCGGACAAAGTACTATACCAGTGGACTATGGCAGTTATAAGTACTACAATAAGATGCTCCTGGAAGCATGGAAAAGCTGATGGCCCACAATAAGTCAGACTGAAATGCTGGGATTGCCATGGCAGATGGTATAAGAAGGGATTAAATGACTCAGGGAAGTGAGCATGCTGGAGTGGACATTTGTGTACACTGAAAAACGCACCAGGTAGTTATGCCACATGGGAAGTCCTAGAGGGAACAATATTTACCAAAGCTATAAGGAATTCCCTGAAAAGAGGAGAACCAGCATCAAATGCTGGAGCTGATGACAAAAAAGGTCATTAATGAAAAAGGTTCACTGATAGCCATAGCAGTCAGAAAGCTGCTCATATGCCTCAGAAGCTAAATAAATGCAACCATTATAATGAATTGCAAGGTCAGAGAGGCAACCAGGGGTGCCTGAGAGTTATGAAGATTAAACCATAGCATTCTTAGGGGTGAAAACAGATGAGCAGCCAACAACAATATACACTTTATTTGTACCATCAAAAGAAATTAAGGATGGATGATCAAGGGACCAACAGCATTTGGCCCAATAAAAAGTCACAATCCTTTGCCCAATATATAAACCTAGGACAGTTTTCCAGCCTGGTAATCATTAATTGAAGATGAAGCCAGTTGCCAGGAGTGAAGATGCTACAAAATCTTGGAAGGTTTGCACAGTAATGAATCTGCCAGTCCTCCAAGAGGACCTATGTTTATTTACGTAGGTAACTGCACTGATAAAAGAGGTACAATAATTCAAAAATTATTGCACACAGGGCTTGAGTTGACATTGATACCTGGAACCATTATAGCTCTCCTATTAGACCAGTTTGTGGTCATCTACCTTATCCTTGAACGTATAGTCAGAATAGACAAAATTGGTAGTTGGCCCAGCCCCTATATTGGGTTCTTGACCTGCGGGGTAAGAGCCATCTTATGCAGGAAGACCAAGTGAAAGCAATTGCTACTGTCCACCCATCTCACCCTCTCCCCAAGGCAAATAAAGTAAATTTAAAGAAAAAAACACCACCACAATATCTCCCAGGGGTGGGAGAGAAACATGAAAATTAGTGCCGTTCAAATAGCTAAAGACATGGGAGTGGTCATCCCTGTGATATTTCCATTAAATTCTTATCTGTCTACTACAAAAATTAGAAGGATTCTGAAGAACTACAGTATACCACTGAAAAAAAGACACCACATTTTAGTTCCTATTGCAGCCATTGCACCAGATGTGGTATCTTTGCTAGGGCAGATTAATGTGGCTTCAAGTAAACGAGGTCACTGATTCAGCAGAGGCCCTTCTTTCCTTTCCTAGCAGAAACAGTTTGCATATACATGGAAGGTGTGAGGAGTGTACATTTGCAGGTTTTGGGCTATGATAACCCTCTTGCCCATGTCATAATAGAGTCTGAATATATCTTGACCGTCTGGATATCCACAGAACATGACATTGATCCAATATATCAATGGCATCATGTTAATTCCCCCAGATAAGCAAGAGGTATTAGCATGATGATGCTCCAAAGTAAAAAAATACAATAAAAAATAGAGTCAGGTGTTTGCCACATCAATACAATTTTCAGAGGTCCAAGGTTCAGGGAACACTAAGATATCCCATCCAAACTAAAGTCAAATTATTGCAAATTGCACATCCCACTCTGAAGAATGCAGTACAGCACCTAAATAGGACTTTTCAGATTCTAGAGGCAGCATAATTCATACTGGGGTTACTGCTCCAACCCATAGGCTAGGGGGGACAAATGATTGCCAGGTTTGAGCGGGGCCCATGTTAGGAAAGTGCTTAACAGCAGGTCTAGTCTGCAGTGAAATTATCCTGTTGCTTGAGCCTTAGGACCCAGCAGAACCTAGTGTATTTGAAGGTGGTTGTAGTAGGAAAAGATGTAAATGTCAACAGGACAGTTACACCATAGATCCTTGAGATCCTGAAGCAAGGCCATGCACTGCAGTAGAGGACTGTATGCTTTCTGAAATATAACTCTTGGCATGCTACCAGGTCCTGATAGAGAAAGCTCCCAACATTGGGTCATCAAGTGATCATGCAGCCAGAATCACCCATCATAAGCCAAGTCTGTCAGACCCATCAGGTTATAAGCAGGCAACCATTCATTATAAGATGGAAGTAGAGCATCTGGGATTGAGCATGGGCAGTAAAAGGTGGCACAGGCAAGCTGCACAAACAGAAAACCCAATTCCTACCTGTGCCCAGCCACTATGGCAGGAGTGCCTCTTCTTTAGCTCACAGTTGTGGCTATACCAGTTATCCAGTATAACCAAACTGTCCGGATGGGGAAAACTCTGAACGTGGTTCACAGATAAATATTTTTGGTATTGTAAACCAAAAATAAAATTCTAAGGTCCCCCAACCATCTGAATGGACCCTTCCTCTCGGCCAAGGCATTCCAGAGTTAACCTGAACATCTTGTTCAGGCCATGTTGGAAGAGAGGGTTGGACATTCCCCATTATACCCCTCCAACATTAACACCAACACAGATCTTAAATCTAATAAGAAACATTTATGGCTCAGTGCGGTGGTTCATGCCTGTAACCCCAGCACTTCGGGAGGCCGAGGTGGGCGGATCACTTCAGGTCAGGAGTTCAAGACCAGCCTGGCCAACATGGTGAAACGCTGTCTCTACTAAAAATACAAAAATTAGCTGGGCCCAGTGGCATGTGCCTGTAATCCCAGCTACTCGGGAGGCTGAGGCACAAGAATCTCTTGAACCCAGGAGGTGGAGGTTGCCGTGAGCCGAGATCGCACCACTGCACTCCAGCTTAGGCAACAGGGAGAAACTCTGTCTCAAAACAAAACAAAACAAAACAAAACAAAACAAAACAAAACAAAACATATCTCCACAACCCCTTATCATAAACCAGATATTCCTTTCTTCTGATAATAATTCAACCAATTACCAATCAGAAAATCTACCTATGATCCAGAAGCCCAGCCCCACTCCTCCTTCCCCGACACCACTTTGAGTTCTCCCACCCTTCCAGATCAAACCAGTATAAATCTTACATGTATTATGTCTCCCTAAAATGTATAAAAGCAAGCTGTACCCCGACCACCTTGGCCACATGTCATCAGGACCTCCTGAGGCTGTCGCAGGCGCGTCCTTAACCTTAGCAACATAAATTTTCTAAATTGATTGAGACCTGTCTCAGACATTTTGGGTTCACAGTATGTGTTGTAGAGAAGTGAGAGATCACCTCCACCCCTAATCCCCTTAGCTCTTATGTGGGCTCTTCGGCTGGATCTAGAAATCAAATTGACACTAGGTAGATTAACAAGGGAAAAGCACACAAATTTTATACATACATGGGGATCTTCCCAAGAGGGTAAAGTCTGAAGAAGTGGCCAAAGCAAGATATTTTATACTTTGTAAACAAAGAACAATAAATTTAAGAAGAAATGACAGGACAAAGAGGATTTGGCTAGGAGCAATAAATTTCTAGGAGAGTCACTAAGAGATGTATAGGGAGGGGCTGTAAAACTAGTGGAAGATAAAAACTACTTTGGGAAGTTTAGTATTCAGGTCCACTGCAGCCCCTAATTCCCAGTCTCTGGTGATGAGGGTGATTTTCTTGCTCTAGTAGGGGGAGGGTACTGTTCCCAGAGCAATCTTTATGGCTCGTGCATGCAAAAAGAGACAGGACAGCTAGCCCTTTCTGAAACTCCAATTCCTCTAATGTTTTCCACTTGAAATATTCAACATACCAATTCAGCATATTTTGAAATGGCATGCCCTTCACTCCTTTGGTGTGTACAAGCTAAAATGAATGGAAGCTGCATTACAGCCCAATCAAGGTCAGTCCTGAAAGACAATTTGTAAGGGGTAATCTTCCTGAAAGAAAGTGCTATAGATGGTGCACCCAAAGAAAGTGGCCTAAGGATAGGCTAAATTAGGATTCAGGGCATGGAATGAATGGCTTGTCTGGTCAAGGTCCTAGTCCTGTAAGAAGAAAGATTGGAAGATTGGGCACAAAGAGATCTGGGGTAGGAGCAGGTAAGTGGACATATGAGAGTGGGCAGGAAGTGTGAAGATCTTTATTTTGTGTGTTAACACCAGAGCATCCCCAGTAGAAAAGGTATTAAACAACCAAGTAAAAAAGTCTCAGCCAGTTGAAGTAAGCCATTCTCTGTTATTGGCCTCATGGGTGCTGGCACAAGAGGAAGAGGAGCAGAGTGGTTGTGGTGGCATGCATGGAAGACAAGCATGGGCCCAACAGCATGGGCTCCCACTCACCAAGGCTCACTGTTGTCACTGAATCTCCAACGTGCCAACAACAATGCTAAGTCCCTAGTATGATACCATCACTTGAGGCAACCAAAAAGCCACTTCCTAGCAAGTTGACTACATTGGACCTCTTCTACCATGAAAGGAAGAGAAGTGTATTCTGATAGAACTAGACAAATATTGCAGGCATGGGTTTGCCTTTCTTCCTTGCAGAACCTCAGTCAGCACGGTCATCTTAAGGGTTATAGAGTGTCTGAACAATTGGCATTGGCATAGGATCCACTACATCCAACTAGAAAACCCACTCACAGCAAAGAAGGTGTGTTGTTGGGACCATGCTCATGGAATCCACTACTCAAATCACATACTGCATCATTCAGAACCTGCCAACCTGTGAAAACACTGAATGGCCTATTAAAGGCACAGTTGAAGTGCCAGCTGGGAGGCAATGCTTGACAGTGATGGGATACTATCTTCCAAAATGCTGTATTTATTTTGAATCATATCGACTTTTATATGGCTCTGGGTCCCCAGTAAAATAAATGCATGGGTCCAGGAACCAGGGGATGGAAGCATGAGTGGCCCCATTGGCTACCAGTCTAAGTGACCTACTTGGGAAATTTGTGCTTCACATCTCTGAAGCTCTGGGACCTGCAGGTTTAAAAGACCTGGTTGGCAAAGTGGGAACATTTCTACAAGTGGGAGATAGGAATTTTCCTATTGATGGATAAGCTGCAACTAATGCCTGATCACTTTGGGCTCCTAATAGGGGTAATGAGCCCTCACCATTGCTAGATAGAGATATCAAGCACAGGGAGGAGGGTGGAATGCATTAACACTTGAGCCTTTTTTTTTTCTTTTTGGGACAAATTCTCGCTCTGTAGCCCAGGCTGGAATGCAGTGGCGTGATCTCGGCTCACTGCAACCTCCGCCTCCCGAGGTCAAGTGATTCTCCTGCCTCAGCCTCCTGAGTAGCTGGGACTACAGGCCCACGCCACCATGCCTGGCTAATTTTTTGTATTTTTAACAGAGACCAGGTTTCGCCATATTGGCCAGGCTAGTCTTGAACTCCTGACCTCAGGTGATCTCCCCACCTCAGCCTCCCAAAGTGCTGGGATTACAGGTGTGAGCCACCATGCCTGGCCCACTTGAGCCTTTTGGAGAAGCAGAAGGAGGCATTCTACACTGGGTGATGGTCTGACTGGAGGGCTCAGAGGTAACAGAAGGCTGCTGTTTGAGGAAGAAGAAGGAAACAAGTTCAGAAAGGCAGATTCAATAGATTTCGACAGTTCTTCTTCTGCAGATTGAGACATATGGACCAGAAATAAGGGAAGAAAGAGAATAATACAAAGAAACAAAAACACATAACTTGAAAAGTCCAGCTTATTTATTACATGTTGTCTATTTTCACTGATTCAGAAAAGAGGAAACTGAAGAGGCCAAAAGAAAGGGAACACACAATGAGGAAGAAGGAGAAAGTTGGACCCATTCCAAGAATCATGCAAGGTATATGAATTTTTTTACCTAATTTTAAACCTTCTCTTAATAATCTCCATCACACTGATATGAAGAAACTCCCAGAATAAGATAATTCTATGAACTCTTACTGTCTCCACATGATGGTGTTCGGGGACTCCACGTGCCATCTCCTTGGCATATAGCTGAAAACCTACTGGTCTCATGACATGAAAATGAAATCTCATCTCCATAGAAATAAACACAGTGATTGGCAGGACGACTTTTCCTGTGTTGAGTGATTTCACCATTATTTAGCTTTGGTTCAGGGCAACATAACGCTGAAAAATAAAATGTGAGGTGCATGGTTAGTAAAATCACCATGAGGAAGCTTCTATGGCTAACAACCTCATTTCCATCTTTGGACGATCTCACCACTGAAGAGAGATTGGGGAAACAGAAAGGGAGACCCAAGACACTCCAAGTCTGCTCTTTCCCCCCTTATTTGCTAAAGTCCTCTAATCCAGTTATTTCCTTCCAACTAAGCATTTCATTAGGAGCCTCCAAAATGAAAAGTTGGATTAAACTTATATGAAGAGCCAGGTGTGGTAGCTCATGCCTATAATCCCAGTGCTTTGGGAGTTCAAAATGGGAGGATTGCTTGAGCCCAGGAGTTTGAGACCAGCCTGGGCAACAGAGTGCGATCTTGTCTCTAAAAAATAAAAAATATTTAAAAAAATTTAACCAATATGAAAATGTAAATTTTCAAAATTATTCAAGGGCAATGACAAACAACATCCATTTACTTATGGCTTCATTATTAAACTCTCTATTAACTTATACTTCTCAAGTCACAAGGAAGAAGAAAGTTTTCAAAAGTTTATATCCACCTAAGAGCTAAAGCATACGAAAAAATTTAAATTACTGCTTATTTCAAGGATTTTTCTTTTTTGATGCAAAATTTGAGAGAAATAGCCATTTAAATGGCAAGATCTTGCTTTATCACTTAGGCTGGAGTACAGGGCACAATTATGGCTCACTACAGTCTCAAACTCCTGGGCTCAAGCAATTCTCCCACCTAAGCCTCCTGAGTAGCTGGGACTACAGGTGTGTGCCACCACACCCACTAAGTTTTTAATTTTTTGGTAGACAAGGGGTCTCACTATGTTACCCAGGCTGATCTCAAACTCCTGGCCTCAAGTGGCCCCCCACCTCGGCCTCCCAAAGTGCTGGGGTCACACATGTGAGCCACCACATCTGGCCAAATTCTTTAATTTTTTAATACAGTAAGAGCTGCTATAGGGACATATTTTTTTATTCATTAGTAGAAATACTTTAAGAAAAAACTTGCTATTGTCTGATGTAAGAGAAAACATCAAAACAGAATAAAATATTACATTCTCCATGTCAGTAACTCGACCAGTATTAAAATGGGGTCTTTTGGACATACTCAAACACTTCCAGTGCTCATTTGTTTAGGAATTATAATAAAAATATTCAGCAATCATATGGTTTGGATATTAAAACAACAATAATATTTATGAAATGCTTTGCAGTGCAGAAAATACTTTTAAATATGTAAGTCATGAGTCTAAATTCACATTTGATCAGGTTTCATAACTTGGATAAATACTACTTCACTTCTGCTTTTAAAATGGTTAAAAATATTCTTTATTAAATAATTAAATCAATAAGATCATAGGGGATCAAATAAATGTAAACAACTGGGTCCTGCTCTGTCATCCAGGCTGGAATGCAGTGGCATGATCTCGGCTCACTGCAGCTTTGGCCTCTTAGCCTCAAGTTATCCTCCTACCTCAGCGTCCTGAGTAGCTGGGATTACAGACGTGTGCCACCACATCCCGCTAATTTTTTAAATTATTTGTAGAGACAAGGGTCTCACTCTATTGCCCAGGCTGGTCTCAAACTCGTGGGCTCAAGCAATCCTCCCGCCTCAGCCTCCCAAAGTACTGGGATTATAGGTAGGAGCCACCGCACCTAGCCTAAATACAACTATAAAGGAGGTTTTTAAACATTTATAAGCAATACTTTTTGTTATTTAAGTAATGGCGGTAAGTTTTATTAAGTATATTTTTAATTCAGTCCTTTTATTAAAATCTTTTATTCTATTTCCCCAAAATGAGTCTGAATAACTGCAATTAAACTTTGTTAAGTCTTAATATGAAATAAGTAATCTTCTGACAGGTTGATCTAAACTACCACTTTTCATTATTTATGCATTTCACAGATTGTTGAAATTCTGATATGCAGCATAAAATTCCCTGTATTCTTGGCCTCAGTGTCTTCACCTCTAAAGTGGCAAGGTTCTGATAGATGGATAGAAGAAAGCATTTTCTTCCTCTCTTGTCTGTTCCACTGAGGCTCATAATATAGTATCCACTTGTCGTTCAGTCCCTCACTCATTTCCACAAATAAAAGAGGTGCGTCTCCTACCAGAGAAACTGGAGGAAGTCTCCTTTCTATCCTTACGAAGTGAGAATGCTCAGTCACGAGTCAGGATTTGTCTTCTAGAGGCAGATCAGGAAGCCCTGCCATCTCATGGTTCAAGAGACATGAGACACAAGTCACCCTGCAGCTGGTTACGCTCATGACTGTTTCACAAACTTGTCTTCTGCCAAACACCCCAAAGCCCATACTGGGGAGGTAAGGGCTATGAAGGAAGCCTGACTCTGACAATAGTTGAGCTGTATTCTCCATTCTAGTTTTACCAGTAAGAAAACTAATACATAATCTGCATAATGTTTGACTTCTGTGTCTACTTCTCATTTGATTCTGAACTGGGATAAGGAAAGGTTACAATTTCTCAGTGCCTCAAACTGTAACATGTTTATGGTCCCCTTCTGGCACTAACAGTTTACTAATCTGTTGAATTAACTTAATTCTAAACTTGTTGTGAGGGATAAAATTATATTCATTTAAGGTAGAGAATCCTAGCACATACTGGACATTTAATATACAAAAATATTAAAAAACAAAAACTCACCCTCACATCCTTGGTATGGGGTCCATCTCAAATTTTTCTGACAAATCACAGTCGTAGGCTCATCTGTAGTGGGTTTGTAGCCAGGATGACAGCGGTACCTTAACACAGTCCCAACAACATACACATCCTCTTTTGTCGGCCTAGGATATGTTTCCCAGGAAGCATGTGGAATGTCTGGTAAATTAATACAACTATCTACTCATGAAAGAAGAAGAAGAAGAACAAAAGGACGCTATTACTAGGGCTGCCACAGCAGTCAATAAGCCTGTCCTATCAAAGGGGGTCATACGTTCATTCAGCCTGGAACCAGCCTGCAAGGCCTGATGTATCAACCACACCAGAAAACACACATGGACATTCGCTCAAATGTGCACACCTCCAGAGAGGCTCTTCACTAAGGGCACTCCCAAGTGGTTTCCATGTGCTGTGCCAAGTATAATAATTTTAATTCTCATTCCTCTTCTTTACATTTCAGAGATTTTAGTTTCTGAACTGAAGCATGGCAGGAAAACTGTCACAAACAAATCTAACTATGTTTACTGATTGATTGGGGAAAATAAACAGGAGCCGTTCCCCTCATCCAGATGATACCAGGAATGACTTGGCAAGAAAAAAACCAAGCTCCAAACATTTTTTGAGCCTGGGCCTTGGATCTTGTCCTCTTCTCTCTTTCCCAATGCTACTGATTCATATGATATGAAAATATAATGCAAACATCTACCACGTTGGATGATTATTGAAATGGAATATAAAAGTTCTTTTTTAACAGCATTATTCAGATTAAAGTCACAACAAATAAATTCACCCATTTAGAATGTGCAATTCAATGGTTTTTAGTATATACAGAGTTGTGCAACCATCACCATTAACTAATTTCAGAATATTTTTATCAACCCAAGAAGAAACCTCATATTCATTATCAGTCACTCCCTATTTCCACCTCCCCCTAGGTCCTGACAACCACTAATCTATTTTTTTCTTTATGGATTTGCCTAATCTGAGCATTTTAAATAAATGGAATCACACAATACATGTACTTTTTGTGACTGGCTTATTTCAGTTAGCATAATATTTTCAAGGTTCATCCATGTTGTAGCATACATTAGTACTTTTTATTTTTCATTTTTATTGCCAAATGATATAATCTATTTTATGGATAAACCACTTTTTGTTTATTCATTATTCATTTGATGGGCATTTGGGTTGTTTGGCTATTATGAATAATGCTGCTATGAATCTTCATGTAAAATTTTTGTGTGTGGACATATGTTTTCATTTATCTTGGGTAGATACCCAGGAGGGTAATTAGAGTCATATGGTAACTCCATGGTTAAACTTCAGCAGGACTGCAAAAACTCTTTTCCAAAATGGTTGCACCAATTTACATTCCTATTAGCAGTGTATGAGAGTTCTAATTTTTCCACATCCTCACCAACATTTGTTATTGTCTATCTTTTTTATTACAGCCATTCTGCTGGATGTGAAGTGGTATCTGATTGTTACTAGAAGGCTATCCTTACAAGAAATGCTAAAGGAAATTGTTCAGACTGAAAGCAATTGACACCAGACGGTAATTTGAATCCACACAGTAAAACAATGAGCATCAGCAGAGGTCATTATGTCAGTAATTTGAACCACAGTATAATATATATTACTACTCCTTCCTTCTCTTAGCTGATTTAAACAGCAATTGCATAAAACAATATGTATATAATTGCATTATTAAGCCTATAACATACAGAAATGCAATATATTTGACAATAACATCACAAGAAAGGTAGGAGGGAACAAAGCTGTATTATAGTACAGAAATGACACCAGATGGTAACTTGAATCTACAGGAAGAAATAAAGAGCGCCAGAAATGAAGAATAAGAAGATTAACATAATAAACTCTCTAAATATATACTTGCCCTCCTTTCTTCTCTCAGCTACTATAAAAGACATGAAACATGAAATTATATAAAACAATAATTATAAAAATTTATTGTGCAGTTTGTAATATATGTAAGTGCAAAATATGTTGTTGGATTCTTGGTTGAGGTTTTTATCTTTCTGCACTTTGAATGTGTCATCTAGCTGCTTTCTAGCCTCCATTCTTTCTGATAAGGAATCAGATGTTAATCTTACTGGGGTTACATTGTACATGATGCGTTGCTCTTCTCTTGCTGCTTTCAAGATTTTCTCTTCATTCTTGGTTTTCAACATTTTGATTATAATGTCTCAAGGTCTAGACCTTTTTGCAATATCCTACTTGAGTTCAACAAGCTTCTTGGATATGTAGATTAATGTGTTGTTTTGTTCTTTTGTTTGGGTTTTTTTTTTTTTTGGTCAAATTTGTGATATTTTCAGCCATTTTTCCTTTGTATAGGTTTTTATCTCCTTTCTCTTTCTCTCATCTTTCTGGGACTCTCATTATACATATGTTGGTACACTTAATGGTGTCCCACATTTCTCTGATGCCATTTATTTTTCCTCATTCTTTTCATCTCTGTGCTTCAAATTGCATAATCTCAATTTATCTTCAAATTCACTGATTCTTTTTCCAACTCAAATCTACTGTTGAGTTCCTCTTTTGAATTTTTCATTTTACTTACTGTGTTTTTCAACTCTAGAATTTCCATTTCTTTTTAAAATAATTTCTATCTTTATCAATATTTTCTATTTGATAAAACTGTCATAATACATTTACTTAATTCTTTAAATATTGTTTCCTTTAGTTCTTGGGACATATTTATAATAGCTGCTTTGTGATTCTTTGAACTTTCCTGCTAAGTCCATTCTCTGGGCTCCCTCAAAAACAGTTTCTATTGTTGGCTTTTTCCCTTTACATGGGTCACTCTTTCCTGTTTCTTTGCACATCTGACAATTTTTTTTTTGAAAACAGAACATGTTAGATAATACATTGCAGCAACTTTGGATATTGATTCTCCCTTACCACCTTTGGGATCTGTTGTTGTTTCCTCATTTTCTTGTTTGTTTAGTGACATAATTGGACTAGTTCAGTTAAGTCTGTTTCCTTCAAAGTGTGCAACATCTAACAGCATGCCTCAGACAGCACAGACTTGGGCATGTACACAGTCTTTTTAACTGCCAGAGATAACTGTGGTTTTCTCTTTGACTGTCTCTTTCTCATTGAGACTTTGGGTGGTCTACCTCTGTTGGTATTACATACAACCATTGGCCTCCAGCAATCTTTATCTGATTGTTCTACTTTTTTCAGCAACTCCCTGGGGCATAATATGCTTCACAGTCTAATCCAATTAAAGTTCCTTGAAAGGGGCAGAGTGTTTACAGTCTTTGAAGCTTGCTCCAAATCTGCCCTGGAAGAATGTCTGTCCTATAGATCAGGAGCTGGGGGAAATTAGAAAACTCATTCTTTCCCAGGCACTGCACTAGAGTTCTTCTTATGGTGTAGGAGCTGTGAGAAGAGAAAAGGGGGAAGTAGGAACTGGCACTGCCACCCAGCTGCGCCCACCACCAAGTACACATATTCCACAGCGCAGAGCTGGGGAGAATAATAACTGCCAATATTCATAGCTGTCAACCTACCCATAATAGTTCTTCCATTCTAGGAAGCTGGGGAAGATGGGAGATGCCACTTGGCTGCTGAGCCAACTGGAATAGTTCTCGTGCAACATAGAGCCATGAAAAAGGGGGGACTGACTTCTTACCAGCTGCCCCACTTAGATCCTCCCCATATAATCGGAGTTGGGGGTGAAGGAACAGACACTGATGCATGTTTGCTGGCACCGATTCAATATTCGACTTCCACAGCATGGATCTTTGAAAAATACTGTCATGTAATTTTCACTGGCTGCCAAATCCACCCCAAATAACTTTTTTACCCCAGGGAGCTGGAGAAGATGGGAATTGCCACTTGTGGGATGAGCCCACAGAAAACATCCTCCCGCAAGGTAGAGCTGTTGCAGCCCCTAGTTCTAATGCAATGTCCTCCCACTGTTCCTATCAAGTCTCCATATTTTTGCTGAATAAATGCTTCTCGGTTTGTTGTAATCCCTTTGATCACTCTCCAGAGACTTTGAATGGTTTTCTTTGCTAATTTTGACCAGCTTGGTGGATACCTCTTCAGGAGAGAGGTTTCCCCAAACTCCTCCACCACTGCTCCAGAAATCCCCAGAAGTTCTTGACATTTCGTGAGGGCAAAACTTAGAGCACAAGGCATCAGTGGCTTCCTTCTCTTACCAGTTGTATAACCTTGAGCAAGTCTTTTAACCTCTGTGAACAGTTTCTCATCTGTAACATAAGGATAATCATAGTGCCCACAATTGTTGGGAGGATTTGTTGAGTTAATCCTTGTTATGCACCTAGTCTAGTGCCAAGTTATCATTATTACTATTGTCATTATTTTTAATAATCCACGAGTTTATAACTTCAGAGTGTTGGAATCATAACCAGTTCACACAATACTTTTGTACAAGTTATAAAAGGCATTTTTCCTCAGGACAATTTATTATTTGTCTTTCAAAGTAATTATAATAATATAATGATTTTGTTAGAATAAGACAATTTTCTATCAAATTCCATAAAATTATTGAAATAAATATACAAATCCATAGTATCTACAATGTTAACACCTCCCTTTAAGGTTGGAATGTGCACAGTCTTGTGGTATGTGGCAGTTTTGTGTGACAATATATGACCTTGCAGAGTGCACTAAAATCATTCTTCTTTCCAACAAGAAAAAAATAAAGGAAATTATTGATCTAGATGTAAATTTTTACTGTAATTCATAGTAGGCCTATGCATGCAAGTATACCCGTATTAACAGTACGGGGTACCTTTAGATGCCAAACATTGAAATTCTGTCACAGTCCATACTTACTGGGCTCACAAGCAGGAGGAGAAGGATTCCATTTGCTATCAGCATCACAATGAATTACACTGCTGCCTCTGAGAACAAAACCTTTTTGGCACTTAAACACAATAGTGTCTTTGTAATTATAGATGGGTCCAAATCCAGAGACCATTTCCCCATGTGAAACATCTGGCTTGCGACAGGTGATTTCTAAAGAATCATGAGAAAAGACAAGTGGATTTTAAAAGATAGATGGTAATAAGGATATTACTGCCACTGCTAATCCAGTTACAAGTGCAACACAAATGCCTGTTGAATGTGCATGTCAAGTAGATACAAGGGAAACATTTTAAAGTGAATACACATACACAAACGCATACATATATATCTGTATATATAATATATATATATATGTAATCCTTTCAGTACTAGTTTTTATTGGTGGAGAAGTTGAAGAAGTTATCCACAATTACCTCATAGAAAGACCAATGTAATGGAAACTCATTTTACTGAGGCTTTTAAAAGCTGAAATTATTTATATTATGTTAATGATACTTATTATATATTTTATATATTCTATAATATAGTCTTATAGAATATATAACACTATACCAATAGTATTATATATTATATATTTTTATATTTGATATAATATATATTTATATATACACATATGTATGTGTGTGTATATATATAAAATATATAATTTCAGCTTTTAAAATGAGTTTTCATTACATTGGTCCTTCTTCGAGATGACTGTGGATAGCTCCTCCAACTTCCCTACCAATAAAAATCAGTCATACATAACCCAGCAGAAACATATTTCCAAGGCCCCCAAAACTTTCAGTATAATGGCCTAATTTCCTAGATGATTTTGGTTATGGGTCCGTGGCCCATGGTAATTACATAGTGCAGAGGCAGCCCAGGGGATCAGAGACCCATGCCCCGACAAGCAGAAAACAAGCCGCCCCCTATCTCACACCCCTCACCCACATCCTGGCAGTCATCCAGTCCTGGCAATTCTGCTACTTTAATTCCTCTACAATCCCTTAACTTCTGTCCAGCCCCACTGCCATGCTACCGCTGAAGCCACCTTCAGTTTTTGGCTGGAGGGTTGCACAGGTGCTGTCTTAGTCTGTTCCTGCTGCTATAACAAAATACTTTCACTAGTTTATAAATTATGGAAATTTCTTTCTCACAGTTCTGGAGGCTGGGAAGCTCAAGATCTAGCCACCATCAGATTCAATGTCTGCTTGCTCTCCCCTTTCAAGATGGTGCCTTCTTGCTGCGTCCTCACATGGGGGAAGGGATGAAAGCTCTGTCCTCACAAGACAGAAGGGCAAAAGAGACTAGCGCTCTCCCTTCAACCTCTTTTATAAGGGCACTAATCCCATTCATGAGGGTGGATCCCTCATGACTTAATCACTTCCCCAAAAGTTCCACCTGTTAAAACGATCACATTGGGTCTTAGGTTTTATCATGAGTTTGGAGATGCACATTCAAGCCATAGCAGGTGACTGTCAGTTAAGTTTTGTCCCACTTCAGGTTGTTGTCCCACAGCCAGAGTTATCTTTCTAAAATGCAGCACATTTATTCCCCTTGTTAAAGCCTTTCAAAGTCTCCCCTCCATGATTGTTCTGAATGCCTGAGACTGAAACACAAGGCCCTTCATAACCTGGCCCCTGCCCACTTTTCTGCCCTCAGCTATTGCCGCTTTCACTTGTTGCAGATCTAACTCCAGGCATTTTGCACTGTTGGCAGTATCCTGCTCTTTTGTGCCCCTCGTCTGATTGTGTCCTGTGGTGGGTTAGTAAGCAATACTGTGTAAACTTAGTAATATAAAGTAAGATTCCTTAGACTAGCACACTAACTAACATATCTTTTGACTCAATTATCACTTGCTTTGTCCTGTTGCCCTTCTGGCACTCAGGTTTTGCTTGCCCTACAGGCATATGTGTTTCATCTTATAGGTGCAAATTATATTTTCATTTCCGCTTCTTGAACAGACCAAGGCTACATTCCCCAGTCCTCTGAGGCTACTCTCTAGTTTGAGACAAAAGGCTGTAATGGAAAGTGATATGTGGTTGCTTCCAGGCCAAAGCTCTTAGCCAGGACACAATTGGCCTTTCTCTCTTCGTCTACTGAAGAGACTGTGAAGGCACATTTTGAAATGGAGGTGCCATAAGATCAAAGCAACCTGGCTTGCTGAGCTAGTTGCTAAGCTAACACAGACTACGGCTGCCCTGGAGAGTCTCCTGGACATGGAACAAACTCAGTGTAAATGAGAATAAACTTTTACTTCACCAAACCAGTGAGATGTTGTTGCTGTTTGTTCCCATATACTGTTAGCTCCCAGTTCACCACTCCCATTTTTATGGCTTTTATATTCTAAACAAACATGCAATAAGTATCAGGTGGCCAAATAAATGATTGCATCAGAGCGATAGTTAGTTTATCTTTGAATTTTCCATTTGCCCCCCAATAAATTTACCTTTCTTTCTCTTTTAAACAAAAGAGAGCAAACATTTTGATGCAGAATTCATCATTATGACTTACTTTCACAGGTAGGAGGGCTTGGTCTCCAAACACCTATTGTTTCATTCTCCACAGTGCAAGAAATGGAGGCATGGCCCAAGAGTGAGAAGCGGGGGTCACAGCTGTAGGTGACAGAAAAGCCGTATGCGTAGAAATTTTCTTCACCGCTGTGCCTTCCATTCCTGATGTCTGGAGGAGGCTTACACTTGACAACTGAGGTAAGTGAGTGAAGAGAAAGAAATACTCAGCGAAGGCATCATGATAAATCTAAAATTCATGCAAATTCTAATGGAAGGTACACATACCTGTAAAGATGCACAGGGACTTTATTACCTAACAGAGTTTAAATTGATAGTCAAGTCAGAAGAGTCTTTACTTACTTTCACATTGTGGGAGAGGATGACTCC